>NT_187667.1:0-274009 GCF_000001405.40 Homo sapiens
AGAGATAGGGGTTTTTCCGTGCTGGCCAGGCTGGTCTCAAACTCCCGAACTCAGGTGATCCACCCGCCTCGGCCTCCCAAAGTGCTGGGATTACAGGCGTGAGCCCCCGTGCCCAGCCAGGGGGTTGCTGTTTTATAATAGGTTTGCAAGTTTGTTTTTTGTTTTGTTTTGTTTTGTTTTTTTGAGACGGAGTTTTGCTCTTGTTGCCCAGGCCGGAGTGCAATGGCACAACCTTGGCTCACTGCAACCTCCGCCTCCCGGGTTCAAGCTATTCTCCTGCCTCAGTCTCCTGAGTAGCTGGGATTACAGGCGTCCGCCACCACACCCGGCCAAGGGGGTGGCTGTTTTATAACCAGTTTGCAAGTTTGTTTTTCTCGTGTGTTAGAGGAAAATCTCTTCATGATATGGTGAAGCCGTCGTCTGTTTTGGAAGACGGTGGCCAGGAAAATGGTGGTAAGTTCTCCTGAAAGCAAACGCAGAAGGAAATAAAAATGACTGACAATTAGATCGTACAAAGATGAGCATTGTTTTTATTTATTTTTTTTGAGACGAAGTCTTGTTCTGTCACCCAGGCTGGAGTGCAATGGCACGATCTTGGCTCACTGCAACCTCCGCCTCCCAGGTTCAAGTGATTCTACTGCCTCAGCCTCCTGAGAAGCTAGAATTACAGGCATGCTCCACCACTACCCAGCTAGTATTTGTAGTTTTAGTAGAGACGGGATTTCACCATGTTGGCCAGGCTGGTCTCGAACTCCTGACCTCAGGTGATCCACCCACCTCGGCCTCCCAAAGTGCTGGGATGACAGGCGTGAGCCACCGTGCCCCGGCCCCGGATTCTATTTCTTAAACTGCAGGAAATACTAAATACTTTACATGCGTATGTTTCTCATTTCATTTTCCTACAGGAATTGGAGAGTGAGTTGCTGAGATTTCATTTTTATTCTCTTGGTCCTCATCATGCAAATGGCTAAATGGTTTTTTTTTGAAACAGGGTCTTGCTCTGTCCCCCAGGCTGGAGTGCAATGGGGCGATCTCGGCTCACTGCAACCTCTGCCTCCCGGGTTCAAGCCATTCTCCTGCCTCAGCCTCCCGAGTAGCTGGGATCACAGGTGCGCACCACCGTGTCCGTCTGATTGTTAAATTTTTCCTAGAGACGAGGTTTTGCCACGTTGCCCAGGCTGGTCTCAAACTCCTGAGCTCAGGTGATCCCCCCACCTCGGCCTCCGAAGGCGCTGGGCTTCCAGGCGTGCAGAGGGCTCTTTGTCTACATCCGTCACTGGATTTTCTACCCACGGGGACATGTGACCCCAGCGAGGTGGTCGGGGAGTCGTCGCCGGCCAGCGCTGCAGCCCAGGGATGATGACGGCTCTAGGAGTTTGGTTGTGGAGCACAGATGCCGGCGGTGTGGGCACGAGGCCCTGCACCTGCGTTTCTCCTGCACGGGCCCCGGAACCCCGGGATGGGATCTCTGTGGAGTGATCACGTCAGTGGGCTCTCGGCGAGGCTGGCGGGTGGGAGTCGGCGGCATCCGGGCTGGGCCCCCGAGGCTTGGCTCCCTCTCTGCACCCCAGGGGTCCCACAGGCTGGTGACAGCGCGACTGAAGGCCACGCTGCAGTCAGGAGGCCGCCCCACGTGTGACCCCGGGTCTTCCCACCCCGCCCTGACCCAGGGTCCTGGCCTTCCACGTGTGACCCTGGTTCCGGCACCTGTCCCCGCCCCCCCATCCTGTTCCCCTCCTCTCTCCCTGCCCCCCCTCCCCTCTCCCCGCCCCCCCTCCCCTCTCCCCGCCCCCCTCCCCTCTCCCCGTCCCCCTCCCCTCTCCCCGTCCCCCCTCCCTCTCTCCCCGTCCCCCCTCCCTCTCTCCCCGTCCCCCCTCCCCTCTCCCCGCCCCCCCGTCCCCCCTCCCCTCTCCCCGTCCCCCCTCCCCTCTCCCCGTCCCCCCTCCCCTCTCCCCGTCCCCCCTCCCTCTCTCCCCGTCCCCCCTCCCTCTCTCCCCGTCCCCCCTCCCTCTCTCCCCGTCCCCCCTCCCCCTCTCCCCGTCCCCCCCTCCCCCTCTCCCCGTCCCCCCCTCCCCCTCTCCCCGTCCCCCCCTCCCCCTCTCCCCGTCCCCCCCTCCCCCTCTCCCCGTCCCCCCCTCCCCCTCTCCCCGTCCCCCCCTCCCCCTCTCCCCATCCCCCCCTCCCCCTCTCCCCGTCCCCCCCTCCCCCTCTCCCCGTCCCATCTCTCCCTTGAGTCCTTGGGTGGTCCTGGCCGCACGCCTACCTGGCGGCCCCATCTGTCCCTTCAGGGCAGGGACAGCCGATGCCCCGCACCTCCCCCATCGCTTTTCTGCCTCTGCCCCCTCCCCACATAGGCCTGGCGTCCCCTGGACTCCTGTAGGCCGAGCTGTAGTCTTAAGAAGTGTGTCCCGCAGCCCTAAAAGGTTGGGGTACCCTCCGGCCGTCATGTTCTGGGCACCCTATAGTCCTAAAGGGTCAGGGCACCCCATGGCTGTCATGTTTAGAGTACCCCGTAGTCCTAAAGGATTGGGGCACCCCACATCCCCGGTGTTCAGGGCACGTCATAGTCCTAAAAGGTCGGGGTACCCCTGGATGAGGGGCGGTCAGGAGGGTCAGGGCCTGGGTGGACATCCTGTCATCCTACCCTGTGGGCTATGCCCTGTGTCCCTGACTCTGACATTGGGTGAGGTGAGGACGGGGCAGGTTTCCATGGTACATTTATTTATTTTTTGAGACGGAGTCTCGCTCTGTCGCCCAGCCTGGAGTGCAGTGGTGTGATCTCGGCTCCCTGCAAGCTCCGCCTCCCGGGTTCATGCCATTCTCCTGCCTCAGCCTCCCGAGTAGCTGGGATCACAGGCGCCCGCCACCACGCCCGGCTAATTTTTTGTATTTTTAGTAGAGACGGGGTTTCACCATGTTGGCCAGGCTGGTCTCTAACTCCTGACCTCGTGATCCGCCTGCCTCGGCCTCCCAAAGTGCTGGGATGACAGGCGTGAGCCCCTGTGCCTGGTGGGACCCCAGTTTTCTATTAAAAAAAGGCCGGGCGCGGTGGCTCACACCTGTCATCCCAGCATTTTGGGAGGCCGAGGCGGGTGGATCACTTGAGGTCAGTTGTTTGAGACCATCCTGGCCAACATGGAGAAACCCCGTCTCAACTGAAAATACAAAAATTAGCCGGGCGTGGTGGTGGCGGGCGCCTGTGATCCCAGCTACGCGGGAGGCTGAGGCAGGAGAATCGCTTGAACCCAGAAGGCAGAGGCTGCAGTGAGCCGAGATCGCACCATGGCAGTCCAGCCTGGGCGACAAACAGAAAACAGGCACAGCATAGAGTCTGCCTTTCTGGAATCGCTATAGCTAGGGGGCTGCCTCCCTAAGCCCCACTTCTCTGAGTCTCCTGCAAGGTTTGTGTGAGTGCCTGGGGGCCGAGGCCCTGGCGAGGAGGATGGGGGCTCGGGGGCCTCTGTGACCTGGGGGAGGGGCTGTCGCGTCCCCCTGTGGTCGCGTCCCCCTGTGGTCGCGTCCCCCTGTGGTCGCACCTGTGGGCTGTCGGCCGTAGGTACCGCTCAGGCCCGTCCTGGTTGCGGGGCAAGGGCCTGTGTGTTGGGGGCTGAGAGACGGGGCCTAGAAGCCCTGTTGTGGGGAGGCCTGTGGGGGGCTTGTCCAAGCGGGACCTCCTATCCCTGCACCACTGGGGTCGTCCCCCCCGACGGGGCCTCGTCCCCCCCATGGCTGCTCCGTGAGGTCAGGCAGCGCCGCGCTAGGGAGATGGGGTGGCCCTGTCCCCGCAGAGGGGCTGTTCTCTGGGGCAGAGGCGGGCAGGACCCCCCGCCTTGTGGTCAGGACCCCCCTCCTTGTGGTCAGGACCCACTCGTGGCGGCCGGGGCTGCTGCGGGAGCTGATACCGGGGTGGAGACAGCTACGCCATGGTGAGGACACGGGGCCGGGGGAGGCTGCAGCCGACGGCCAGGCCCCCGTGCGGAAGACCCGGGGCAGCCCCCGCCTAGGAGCTGCGCAGACACGTCCTGGGGCCGCTGTTTCACCGAGACCCGAACGGCTGCTCCCCAGGCTCTGAGTGGCGTGTGCGGCAGCCAAGGCTGGGGGAGCTGTGACTTCTACACGGCGCCAGGGCGCAGGGATCCCTGCTGTGCCAGGGTCTGCCCGTGGGTCATGGGGAACGTGGTTCGAGGCCCCTCTGCTGTAGCCACGCAGCAGCGTCTTGCCGGGTGCGTGGCCTTGTCTGCAGGCTTGAGACCCAGCGGGGCCGTCTGTGCCACGTGGGGTCTGCGCCGGCCCAGGGGCCGCACCGCTGTCAGCCACAGGATGTGTGTCTCGGGGCTGCGGCAGACGGGGCTTCTGTGCCGTGTGGGGTCCGACCCCTCGGCCTGGGCAGGGCGGCCCGTGGGCACCGTGCTGGGGACGACCTCCGGCCTCTGCTCCTTCCCCGGCTCTGAGTCATAAAGGCCTCCCGCTCCCCCGGGAGCCGTGTCTTCTCTAGGAACTGCTGAGCGCGGCTGGGTCTGGCTCTGCCTCATTCCTGCATCTGATGCCCGCCCGTTCTCCCCCAACTCCCCTTTCTCCATCTCCTCCCTCCCCTCCGTCTTGCCCGTCTCCATTTCCTCCATCTCTCCCTTCTCCGTCTCCTCCGTCTCGTGGCTGTCCAGACCCCGTCCCTCCGCAGGCTGGGTCCCCCCTTGTTCTGGGCGGGGCTCTCGGTGCCGGTCTGGTGCCAGTGCTGGGAACCTGTGGTGCCCGTCACCTCTGCTCCCCGTCACCTCTGCTCCACCTCGAGGAGCTGTGTCCTGTCCCACGAGGAGGCGCCCCGGGACCTCAGGGCTGCAGGCCATGGCTGGGTCCGGCTTTGCCTCATCCCCTGTATCTGAGGCCCCCCAGTTCTCCCCCATCTCCCCCTCTCCATCTCCTCTGTCTCCCCCGTCTCATGGCTCTCCGGGCCCCGTCCCCCCCACCAGGCTGGGTCCCCTTATTCTGGGTAGCCCGTCTTGCCATCACTGTCCCTGCCGCCCCTCAGGACAGCGCTGTGGATGCCGGTCTGGTGCCCGTCACCCCTGCTGCGCCTTGAGCAGCTGTGTCTTGTCCCGTGAGGAGGTGCCCCGGGACCTCAGGGCTGTGGCTGGCACCTTTCATGGTCCTCCCCGAACAGAGCTCATGCTGCTGCTCCTGGGTGGACCCGGGGCTGCCCCTGTGAACACTCTTGGTTCTGACACGAAGGCACCCCGTGAGGGAGGGGAGGGGTGGGCTGGGTCGGGTCCCTGCTCGGGGATCTCCAAGGGGTGACGGCCACGAAGTGCGGGGGACCCACGATTGTCATTCAGAGGGTGAGGCGCTGAGCCCTGGAACATCCTGGCTTCTGGCGGGACGCTGGCCACGGTCAGGGTGCCCCGAGTGCTTGTTTTGTGGGGTCCCTGGCCCCCTGCACACGTGAGCCCTCGGGGGAATGGACCCCCAGAACACGTGGAGGGCATGACTGCTGGGCTCTGGGTCTCCCCGCAGCGCCGCCGTCCACTAGGACCCCCGACAGGACCCCCCCACTTCTCCGGCAAAGGTGTCGGTGTGCACGCCCGGCCCCGGCACTGCCCGGGGCATCTGGGGTTGTGGCTGGGGAAGGACGGGGCACTTGGGGGAATGCATTGGGTACAGGGATGTCGGAGGATGCTCAGTGGCTGTGCAGGGGCCTCACCAGCGTCGTGGGTGGGGGACGCTGTCTTTCACGGCCCCAGGGAGGCCTCTCATGTCTCAGCCTTGAACCCTAATTGGGGGGGCTCCCAGTGTCAGTGTGGGGAGGCTGAGGGCGCTGGTCAGAGCCCTCCCATGACCATGGGCTCCGGCTCATAGGTGTGTGTGTGTTGGGGGGGGGGGGTGTCCGGAGGTGGTGTGGGGCGGACATGGTCTCCCAGACGGGCTCCCCGGAGCTGAGGGCAGGGTGGGCCCTGCGGGCCGTGGCTCCCAGTGTCATTTCCCTGCGGCAGAACCTCCTGCCCTGCACCTGTCCTGTTGTTGGGGGTCCTGACCCTTCGCAGACCCAGGTGGGGGCATCCGGGAATTCAGGGGAGCACCTGGTGACACTGAGGACACCTTGGGGACAGTGGCATTCCCCCGGGAGGTGCTGCCTCGTCTACCCACCACCTGGAGCCCCCGCAGTCTCTCCTCAGGGGTCACGGGACCACCCTGTGCATCCGCCTCCTTCACAGCAACGGCTGCCGGTGGATGAACGGGGTGCGTATGCTGCTCTCGGGGTGGTCCCGGCTTGGCCCTGCCCTGCCGCGTGGATGCTGCCACCTCCGTTTCCTGGGGGAGAGTTTTGTCGTGTGTGAGGACGGGGTTGTTCCCATGGTCACCACCTGTGACCCTCACCTGCGTGCAGAGGGAGCAGAGCTGAGCCTGGGCTCATCCACGTCGGGTGCCCCTGGGGTGCTTGTGGCCTCCCCTGCACAGGGAGCTCCTCCTGGTGGGGCCTCCGACCCCCCTCATTTAGGTGTCCCCCAGCTGTGGACGTCCCCACTCTGGCGTGGGCTCCTTCCTTCTGGGGTCGTTTGTGGAACGGGGCCTGGGTCCGTGGCTCCGGGAGGGAACAGCCCCGAGGGTGGGGTCCCCCTGGCTGGGGAGGGGCCCCGCAGAGAGGCCCAGGCTGCACCCCGAGGCGTCTGGCGTGGCCGCGGTCCCCCTCCAGCACCGACGCTTGTAAATCCTGGACGGAGCCACGCTGTGGCTGAGGGAGCCGAGCCCGTGACTGAAAATCCTCCAAACGTACAAGCGTGATCGCCAGAAACGGTTTTGTACGTTTACACAAAACATTCACACAGCCTGTGGTGGAGGCTCCTGTCCAGGACTGAGGCGCCCGGGAGCCGCCGGTCACCGTTGTGCGCACATGGACCCTTTCCACAGACGCAGGCCCCGGAACCCAGGCCGGGTCGGGAACGGCAAGTGCTGGAGGGTGTCCGTGTGGGAACCCGTCCCATTCACGCGCGGCCCTACGTGTCCCCCGGGCACAGGGCTCTGGGCAGGTCCAGCCACGAACCCACAGCGGCAATCAACACGCTTCTGTGAATAAATAAAAGTTTATCATTCCGTACAAACGCACTCATTTTCCACAACAGTTTTTACACGAGCCGCGGTGGCCCGGTGGTGGCACGTGGGGGGCGGCCCCGCGGCGGCGTTCTCGCGGGTGGCGTCACAGCGGCTCCAGGTCCTCGTCCCCGCACGCGTACTCGTACAGGTCCACGGCGCCCAGCGGTGAGGGCGCCTCGAAGAAGGGCCTCTGGGCCAGCGGGGAGCGCAGCGCACTCAGCTTCTGCTCCACGGGGCTGAGCTCGGCCTCGAACCTGCAACGAGGGGATGGCGAAGACGTGGCCAGCAGCGCGGAGCAGGCCCTGGGCCGTTTTCCGGGAAACACAGGCTGCTCGGCCGCCAACCTCCAGCACGAGACAGTCCCCTGAGCCGACCTTGAGCTCCAGCCGCTGAGCCAGCAACGCGCTCCTGGCTGAGGACGCCGGCTCCACGAATGCTCCCGGGGGAGGGGCCTGCGGTGCAGGTGAAAACCCACCCAGGACGGGACGGAGCCCCGGGCGTGAGCTACACACAGAGGACCTGGGCGGGCGCGCCTTTTCCCCAAAGCGAGCTGCACGGGACCTGTGTTTACAACTGGGTCGTGGTGTCCACACAGGACTGGAGAACAAACAGGACCACAGTTTAGACACATTCTCCCAAAGCACAGAAGCTCCCAGTGGAGGCTACCACTTCCGTTCTGACCAGAACACGCAGCAGTGCGAGGACTGGACGCGCGCCTTCCCTTAAGGTCTCGGCAGTGACGTCGGGCGCTGCTCCGGGGAACCCAGCGCGGCCACGGACCACACAGACTCTCAGAGATCCTGTGGGGACACCTCTGCTTTCCAAGACGCCCCCGACAGCCTGGCACTGAGCTCCCCGCGGTCACCCCCACGGACCTGAGCTCCCACTGCCGGAGCAGGCGTGGACACGGTGAAGGCAGTCGACCCCAGCGTGCTGCTGGCTGTGCCGCAGACACAAAGCCGGGCAGCCGTGGGGGTGGACACTGGTCAGGTGGGGAGCAGAGGTGACAGACGGTGGTGGGGACAGGCGCACACCCATCCAGGCTAGGTCTGGGGGCCACAGCTGCCTTAGGGTGTCCGACAGGAGAAGGCAGAGACTGCGAAGTTGTGGGGACCCAGAGGTTGGCTGCCAGGTCAGAGCCACCGTGCAAACAATGACCACGAGGAGGACGGACACACAGGACAGACGGCCCAGGGTGGGCCGCAGGGGCCCTGTGCTGCTTGGCAGGAATCGGACGGGGCGGCTGATGGGGGAGCAGGGGTTAAAATGCACGTCCATGGAACCCATGGGTCGGGAACCCAACGGTAACCAGAAAGTATTTTGAGCTGCACCAAAATCAGAAGGCCGCGGGCTGCGGTGTCCATGGCCCACGTCGCTGCCTGAAGATACTCAAGGAAAACAGCAGAACAAAGGGGAGAAACACCCGTGGTTCCCTGGGAAGAAGAGTGAACCTCGTCGGCCCCTCGCCTCACTGATCACACACAAAGTCAGTATCAGGAGCGTGAGAGACGCTATCACTGGATTCTGCAGACATCAGAGTCACGAGCAGGAAATACCAACAATAACCCACTGATGGGAACGGGCAAGTTTCCGAAACACACAAACCAGCAAAGCTCACTCAAGGCTGGGCGGGGGCTCACGCCTGTAATTCCGGCACGTTGGGGGACCGAGGCGGGGAGAACCCTCGAGCTCAGGCATCCAAGACCAACCTGGGCAACACGGTGAAACCCCATCTCTACAAAAAAATACAAAAAAGTAGCCGGGTGTGGTGGTGCGTGCCTGGAAGCCCAGCTACTCGGGGGGCTCAGGTGCGAGGATTCCTTAAGCCCAGCAGGTGGAGGGTGCAGTGAGCTGAGATTGCGCCAATGCCCTCCAGCCTGCGTGACACAGCCAGACCCTGTCTCCAAAAAAATAATAAAATACTACAGATAATCTCTGCAAAGAGAATCCAGTAATATGTGAGGATAACACATGACTCGGCAAGATATATCCTGGGAACACGAGGCTGGCTGAAAATGACTCAGTGTAACTCGCTGTATGGACACACAGAGGAACCACGGAGCGAAAGCATCTGAGAAATTCGGCCCCCACTGCGAGAAAGCCCCCGCAGACCAGGAAGAGGGAGAACATCCTCGCCAATGAGCGTGCTTACCGCTGCGTGAGGGGAGACGTCCCCCAGGACTGGGAACGAGGACGGCACACAAACCAGCAGGGCTCACTCAAGGCTGGCCGTGGTCTGCCCTGACATCCACCACATCTCCCTGCGGGTTCCAGGCCATGCAGCGGGCAAGAGAAAGGAAGTAACGTACACAGAGGGGTGAAAAGGAAGACGAGAGACGGACCCACTGACAGACATGGGCTGTCCACGCAGAAAACCCCAAAGAACCGACAGAGCTTTGAGATCCAGTAAGTGAGTTTCATGAAGGTGCAAAACACAAGGTCAATAAATTCTATATGCTACCAACGAACAACTGGAAACGGGAACCTTAAAAGCACCGCTGACGATAGGAAAACATCAGGAAACACTCAGAAGTCTCACAACATTCGCATCAAGCGTACACGGAAAGCTACAAAAATCCTGCCGAGAGACACGGACGGCGCCCATGGACTGGGCCCTCCTGCGGTTATGAAGGCGGCAGCTGGGCCCACAGGGATCCATTCACTCAGCGAGATCTCACTCAAAAGTTCAGATTGTTTGTTTTTGTTTTGGAAATGGAGTTTTGCTCTCGTTGCCCGGGCTGGAGTGCAGTGGCGCGATCTTGGCTCACTGCAACCTGCACCTCCCGAGTAGCTGGGATTACAGACGTGTGCCACCATCCCTGGCTTTCTTTTTTTTGGAGACGGAGTCTCGCTCTGTCACCCAGGCTGGAGTGCAGTGGCGCGATCTCGGCTCACTGCAAGCTCCGCCTCCCAGATTCACGCCATTCTCTTGCCTCAGCCTCCCGAGTAGCTGGGACTACAGGCGCCCGCCACCACGCCCGGCTAATTTTTTTTTTGTTTAGTAGAGACGGGGTTTCACCATGTTGGCCAGGATGGTCTCGATCTCCTGACCTCGTGATCCGCCCTCCTCAGCCTCCCAAAGTGCTGGGATGACAGGCGTGAGCCACCGCGCCCGGCCAGAAGAAGCTTATTCTTATGTGTTTTCATACAAAGGCAAAGAAACCAGAATAGCCAACGTAGCGCGGGACAGAAGCAGAACTGAGAAGCTCAGCACGGGATGGCAAAAGTGACCACGTCGCTCCAGCGTGCACCACGGGAGGCCGGTGGGGGCCACAGTCCACGTGGTCCCGGGACCAGCGCTCACCACCACGTCAGAGTCCAACACACGTTCCCACAGGACGGCAGAGCAAGGACGGGCTGAGTCTAAGATTCACACACAGGCAGCCCAACACCAGAATGGCCCCGACAGTTCCACACGGCGCCCAAGTCGGAGGCTTCTCACCGCAGCCAGCTCTGCCGCGGGAACGGACAGACACGTGCAGCAGTGGGACGGAGGAAGGTTCCGGAACGGAGCCCGCACACGGCACAGTCACGACGCCGAGGCAACGCTGCGGCCTGCAAAGCTGATGCTGGGACAGTCGGACACCCGGACACCCACATACCACAAGGGGAACCTCAATCCAAGCTTCACACCCCACAGGGAAGGTTACTCAAGAGGACCCCAGACCAAAACGCAAAACATCGCAGAGGAAAATCTTCGTGGCTTTGGATTCAGAAATGAATTCTTAGATATGACACCAGAAACACCGCTGTAAAAATAACCAGTCAGTGTCTCCTCCTCCAAATTCAGAACATCTCTGAGACACCACGTGAAGAGGGGGTGAAAACATACGTCACAAACTGGGAAAAAGGCGAACACGTCGCAAATAAAGGGTTTGTATCCTGAAGACACGAAGAACCCTCACGCTCCGTGAGAAAGCAACCAGCCCAGGGCCTCTCAGGGCCTCCAAGGCTGGAAGGCCGAAGCGGAGGCTGGAATGGCCACGGGCCCTGCAGCCTGCCCAGCAGGTGCCAGCCATGGGATAAGGACAGACGTCGTTGGCGAAACACAACTCGGCCTCCCCGTGCTGGGCCTGATGTGCGAAGCCTCGCGCCCAGGATCACAGAACCCCACGCGGGGAATGACGGGCAGACTGCACCGAGGCCCGGCCCTGTCATCGGCTGTCCTTACCTCACCGGCCCCGTGTCAGGTCTCACCCCGCCCCTCTGTGTCCGCGCACCCCACCTGACTGGCCCCGCATCCCCCGGCTGCACACACACCCGTCCTCCCACTCACCCGTCCTCCCCACTCACCCGTCCTCCCACTGACCCGTCCCCCCACTCACCCGTCCTCCCCACTCACCCGTCCTCCCAGGGCTCTCCCACGGTCTCCTCGGCCACCAGGATGTCGTACTCCTCGGCCGCGTACTTCTCCCAGTCCGAGAGCTCGGGGCCGCCGCTGTCACCGTCCTGGAGGAAGCACACGGGTTACGTACACGGCGTGGAGCGGCCCGGCCCGCGTGCCCGCCGCACTCACCCTGAGCAGGGAGATCTGCTCTTTCTGCTCGTGGTCGAGGTACTTCTCGATGTTGAAGAAGGTGTCGAAGAAGACGTTGGCCAGCTTGCAGCGCTTCAGGTCCTGCAGCGTGATCTTCCCTGTGGGGAGGGGAGTGCGTCCAAGGCGCGTGAGCCCGGTCTCACCTTCGGGGCCTGGGTGTGGGGTGCGCGCGTCCTGTCACACGTGCTTAAGGACGCGGCACGAAGCTCCGGGCTCTCACGCCACGTGTTTGACGTGAAAGGCGGACACGCGAGTGTCCCGGTTCTGGGTGGGGACTGAGGCGTGGGAGGCCGTGATGCGGAGGCGACTAGGGGCCACCGGTGCCCCAAGGACGCGTGGACTGGGACGTGGCGCAGGGAGGCGCGGCCAGCAGGGGCGCTGCTGGATCTGAAATTACAGAGAACGGAGCTCCCCGTGCAGGCAGAGGCCAGAGGGTGTCCCGGGGACACTGAGCAGCAGGAGGCGCCCCATGGCCGGGGGGGGGGGCAGGGCTGCAGGGCGGTGCCCGGGCCTCAGAGCCATTTCCAAAGTGAAAGTCCCAGAGCTGGATTCTGAGATGCAGAAGGAAGCCAGGCGGCGTGGACGGTGGGGCTCCCCTTTGCCTTAGAGGGCACGGGGGTGGGTGGGAGGAGCTGGGGAGATGGTGTGGGGGGAACAGGGGTGAGAGGGGAGGAGCCGGGGGGGTGAGGGGAGGAGCCGGGGGGGTGAGGGGAGGAGCCGGGGGGGGTGAGGGGAGGAGCCGGGGGGGTGAGAGGGGAGGAGCCGGGGGGGTGAGAGGGGAGGAGCCGGGGGGGTGAGAGGGGAGGAGCCGGGGGGGTGAGAGGGGAGGAGCCGGGGGGGGTGAGAGGGGAGGAGCCGGGGGGGGTGAGAGGGGAGGAGCCGGGGGGGTGAGAGGGGAGGAGCCGGGGGGGGGTGAGAGGGGAGGAGCCGGGGGGGGGTGAGAGGGGAGGAGCCGGGGGGTGAGAGGGGAGGAGCCGGGGGGGGTGAGAGGGGGGGAGGAGCCGGGGGGGTGAGAGGGGAGGAGCCGGGGGGGTGAGAGGGGAGGAGCCGGGGGGGGTGAGAGGGGAGGAGCCGGGGGGGGTGAGAGGGGAGGAGCCGGGGGGGGTGAGAGGGGAGGAGCCGGGGGGGTGAGAGGGGAGGAGCCGGGGGGGGGGTGAGAGGGGAGGAGCCGGGGGGGTGAGAGGGGAGGAGCCGGGGGGGGGGTGAGAGGGGAGGAGCCGGGGGGTGAGAGGGGAGGAGCCGGGGGGTGAGAGGGGAGGAGCCGGGGGGGGTGAGAGGGGGGGAAGAGCCGGGGGGGTGAGAGGGGGGGAGCCGGGGGGCTGAGAGGGGAGGAGCCGGGGGGTGAGAGGGGAGGAGATGGGGGGGGCGAGAGGGGGGGAGGAGCGGGGGGGGGTGAGAAGGGAGGAGACGGGGGGGGGGTGAGAGGGGAGGAGACGGGGGGGGGTGAGGGGAGGACCGCCTTGTGCGGCATCAGCACGAACATGGCAACTGCTCCCTCAGCCCAGTGCCAACGTCCCCGGTGAGCTCCGGCCCTAGGTTCTCTAGGTCACCCCTCGGGGGGTGTCGACGCCCCGAATAGAAGGTTCTTGCACTGTGAGACTAGGCACCTGTGGTGCTGGCCCTCCTCACAAACTCAGTAGGACAGCACCTCACAGGGACGTCCCCTCACCCTGGTCCGTCCTCTCGCCCGTCCGTCCCCTCACCCTGGGCCGTCCCCCCTCCCGTCCGTCCCCTCACCCTGGGCCGTCCCCCCTCCCGTCCGTCCCCTCACCCTGGGCCGTCCCCCCTCCCGTCCGTCCCCTCACCCTGGGCCGTCCTCCCTCCCGTCCGTCCCCTCTCCCTGGGCCGTCCTCCCTCCCGTCCGTCCCCTCTCCCTTGGCCGTCATCCGTCCCCTCTCCCTGGGCCGTCCTCTCGCCCGTCCGTCCCCTCACCCTGGGCCGTCCTCTCGCCCGTCCGTCCCCTCTCCCTGGGCCGTCCTCTCGCCCGTCCGTCCCCTCACCCTGGGCCGTCCTCTCGCCCGTCCGTCCCCTCACCCTGGGCCGTCCTCTCGCCCGTCCGTCCCCTCACCCTGGGCCGTCCTCTCACCCGTCCGTCCCCTCACCCTGGGCCATGCCCTCACGGGGCATCACCTTCAGTCCTCGGCTTGACCAGGTCCAGCATCTGGCAGAGGCAGTCCTGGAAGGGCAGGGCCTCGATGGCCATGCTGTCCAGCCTTCGGCACTGCTCCTCGTAGAAGTACTCGAGCTCGAACATGGACAGGGCGCCGTCCCCGTCCAGGTCCATGCAGCGGAACCAGTACTCGATGCTGCGGCACGGCGAGCTCTGTCAGCCCCTGCCCTGGGCCCTCCCAGCCCGTGACCTGCAGCCCCTGGGGCAGCCCCCACCGGGGGTGCACGCGTCCCCCCTGTGCCTTGCAGCCCCCACCAGGCGTGCAGGCATCCCCTGCCCCCTGCCGCCCCCACCGGGCGCGCACGCGTCCCCCTGTGCCGTGCAGCCCCCACCGGGCGTGCACATGTCCCCCTGTGCCGTGCAGCCCCCACCAGGCGTGCAGGCATCCGCCTGGGGACACATGTCACATGGGCAGCTCCCGGCCCCTCCACTGGGACAAACGCATGCCGCAGCAGGAACCCACCTGGTCGGTGTTTTTTTGTCTTCCTCAGAGATCAAAAACCAGACAAAGTCGGCATAGCTGATCTTCCCTTCCTTCTGCACTTTTCTGCCTCTAGATCCAAAGCCAGGATGGAGAGACGAAGATGCATGTCAGGGAGAGCTTCACAGGAACGGAGCCCCTGTCCACGCGCCTCGGTGAGGGGAGCCCCCCGGGCCCGGCCCTCCTCCTGCCCCCCTCCTGCCCCTCCTCCTGCCTCTCCGGGGAGGAGGTGGAGGCCCCGTGGCCAGAGGGTTTTCCCCAGATCCAGGCAGGGTCAGGAGTGCACCTTCGTTACTGCTCACTCAGGCCCAGCGCCCGACAAGAACCCCCGACCTGGGGCCTGGGCCACCCCCTTCCTCAGACCTCGCGTGACAGTCTTGTGCCACCCCCCCCACTAGGGATTCACGTGACAGAGACACGTGCCCCCCTCGCCAGGGCCTGGGGTGACAACCACTCGCTGTCGGGGCACAAAGAGCTCACGTCAGGCAACGATGAGGAGAGGGACCGGGGTCCTCGCAGGGGCAATGGCTGCCGTCAGGCGCCTGAGCCGTACGTACCGTGTGACTGCTCCTGAGAAGATCCTGTCTATCATCTTGGTAGAAAGGGCTGGAAAGGAATGCGGTTGATGGGCAGCCCGCACCGTGCCTCGGCCCCGACGTCACCACCCCCCGGAGCCGAGACTGGATGCGGTGGGGACCGAAAAGCTGAGAGGACGCCTGGGTCTGGGAGAGCCCCGGGGCCCCGATGCCCCTGCACGGCCCATCCTAGGGGCCCACCACGCTTTCCCGTCGAGCAGAGCCAAGTCCAGCATGAAATCCACAGAGCGCAAAGCTGACCGCGGCTCCAAGACCGACTTGTAAAGAGCAGAATATTCAGGCCTCAAAGGTACAGCTTTCAGACGGAGAGAGAGACCTCGAGTGTGATCACGGAAACAAACACGTTTCAACCAAAGGTTCACCAACGGGAGACGGGAGTGAGACCTCAGCAACGGGAGGCGGGAGGGAGACCTCGCCAAGGAGAGGCGGGAGTGAGACCTCAGCAACGGGAGGCGGGAGTGAGACCTCAGCAACGGGAGGCGGGAGGGAGACCTCAGCAACGGGAGGCGGGAGGGAGACCTCAGCAACGGGAGGCGGGAGTGAGACCTCAGCAACGGGAGGCGGGAGGGAGACCTCAGCAACGGGAGGCGGGAGGGAGACCTCGCCAACGGGAGGCGGGAGTGAGACCTCAGCAACGGGAGGCGGGAGTGAGACCTCAGCAACGGGAGGCGGGAGTGAGACCTCAGCAACGGGAGGCGGGAGTGAGACCTCAGCAACGGGAGGCGGGAGTGAGACCTCAGCAACGGGAGGCGGGAGGGAGACCTCAGCAACGGGAGGCGGGAGGGAGACCTCAGCAACGGGAGGCGGGAGTGAGACCTCAGCAACGGGAGGCGGGAGGGAGACCTCAGCAACGGGAGGCGGGAGGGAGACCTCAGCAACGGGAGGCGGGAGGGAGACCTCAGCAACGGGAGGCGGGAGGGAGACCTCGCCAACGGGAGACGGGAGTGAGACCTCGCCAAGGAGAGGCGGGAGTGAGACCTCGCCAACGGGAGGCGGGAGTGAGACCTCAGCAACGGGAGGCGGGAGTGAGACCTCGCCAACGGGAGGCGGGAGGGAGACCTCGCCAACGGCAGGCGGGAGGGAGACCTCGCCAACGGGAGGCGGGAGTGAGACCTCGCCAACGGGAGGCGGGAGTGAGACCTCGCCAACGGGAGGCGGGAGGGAGACCTCGCCAACGGGAGGCGGGAGTGAGACCTCGCCAACGGGAGGCGGGAGTGAGACCTCGCCAACGGGAGGCGGGAGTGAGACCTCAGCAACGGGAGGCGGGAGTGAGACCTCACCAAGGAGACGCGGGAGTGAGACCTCAGCAACGGGAGAGGGGAGGGAGACCTCAGCAACGGGAGGCGGTAGGGAGACCTCACCAAGGAGACGCGGGAGGGAGACCTCAGCAACGGGAGGCGGGAGGGAGACCTCAGCAACGGGAGGCGGGAGGGAGACCTCAGCAACGGGAGGCGGGAGGGAGACCTCAGCAACGGGAGGCGGGAGGGAGACGTCGCCAAGGAGAGGCGGGAGGGAGACGTCGCCAAGGAGAGGCGGGAGGGAGACGTCGCCAACGGGAGGCGGGAGGGAGACGTCGCCAACGGGAGGCGGGAGGGAGACGTCGCCAACGGGAGGCGGGAGGGAGACGTCGCCAACGGGAGGCGGGAGGGAGACGTCGCCAACGGGAGGCGGGAGGGAGACGTCGCCAACGGGAGGCGGGAGGGAGACGTCGCCAGCGGGAGGCGGGAGTGAGACCTCAGCAACGGGAGGCGGGAGGGAGACCTCACCAACGGGAGGCGGGAGTGAGACCTCACCAACGGGAGGCGGGAGTGAGACCTCACCAACGGGAGGCGGGAGTGAGACCTCACCAACGGGAGGCGGGAGTGAGACCTCACCAACGGGAGGCCGGAGTGAGACCTCACCAAGGAGAGGCGGGAGTGAGACCTCACCAACGGGAGGCCGGAGTGAGACCTCACCAACGGGAGGCGGGAGGGAGACCTCACCAATGAGAGGCAGGAGTGAAAGCACCGTCGCTGTCAGCTCGGGCCACGAGAAGGTCCCGCAGCCTGGGCGGCCATCCCTGCGGTCACCGGTGTCCCTGGGACGCACGAGCCAAGGTGCCGCCCCCCGCTTCAGGCCGCAGTGCGTGAGAAACAGCGCAGCCCGGCCGCACACGGCATCCTGCCCTGGGACCGAGAGTGGGCTCCAGAGGAACGCGGAAAGCTGGGGCCGCGCCGGGCCGGGGGTTCACAGGGACAGTGAGCGCCTGGTTCTGGGCCGATTCCCAGCTGTGCAGGTGCTGGCCCAGGCCACACGGGCCGGCGCTGTGGAGCTGTGCTCTCCTCGTGGCTAGTTAGGGGCCCAGGGCGCAGGTGGCTCCCTGAACTGAGCGCAGGACAAATCCAGGGAATGCTACGTCTGCTCAGGTGCGCGTCCGACGCAGGGATCTACTGCGGCCACGCGACCCAGGACCAGCCCCGGGAGACGCAGACGGGTGCAGCTCACGTTCGGGGAACCAGGCGTATTATGAGTCGACCACACACAACAGATGCCACCGTAATTCGGAAACAGTCTTGGTCATATGGTTTTTTGGGGTAAAAAGCACACTTAAAGGAATCCTTTAGAAAACTCAAGCCCCACAGGCCACAGGCCGCTTTGAGTTCCTGCAAGTGTGGATGACTCTTAGAGGGGCCGGGAGGCGGTGGCTGCTGTGAGGACACCTGGGCGGCACCGGCTCCCGTGGAGGTATATGAACGACCGCTAAGCCTGGGGCTCCACCTAGCCCGGGATTGGATGGAAACTGCTCCAGGCCTTGGGGGCTGGAACCTGGAGCTCCTGAGGGAAGGCGTGTGGCCTGCCCGCCCTTGCTCGGGTGTTAACAAGGAAGCCCCACAGCGCTGCTGGCCCTCGGGCCAAGAGCTTCAGGACCAGCGGCCCACACTGACCCTGTAGACGCCCCCAGGCAGAGGCCTCGGGCAGAGGCGCACACGGGGACCCAGACACGGGGCAGCGACTGGGGAAGGAGAGGCAGCTGCAGACACAGAGCGGCGAGTGCGAAGGAGAGGCAGCTGCAGACACAGAGCGGGGAGTGCGGAAGGAGAGGCAGCTGCAGACCCGCAGGCCCTGAGAGAAGGGTGTGCTCGGTGTCCGCGCGGCCCGCCCGCCCCTGTGCCCCCACGCACCGTGGTCATTGTGCCGCGCCAGGTCGTCCGCGTCGATGAGCAGGTCGTGGTCCGTGTCCAGCTCCCAGAACTTGCAGTAGATGACGTAGAAATGCTCGTACGAGAAGAATTCGGTCAGCTGGTTGATGTCCGCCTCCTCCTCCAGCAGCGCCACATTCTGCCAAAGGACCCAGGCGGCCTGAGCGCGGGGCCTCTGCGGGGATGCCCCAAGTCCGCCTGGCTGCGGGCGGGGCAGGGAAGGCTGGGAGGGTCGGGGCCGCTCCGTGGGTGGGGGGGACTGGGCAGCTGGGGCCGGGGGGCACTCCGAGTGGGGGCAACTCTGCGGTGGGGGGAGCTCCAGCATGGGGGCGGCTCCCTAGGCGGGTGTGGGGGTGGGGGCAGCTCTGGGGGAGTCAGGGCTCGGCTCCCCCTCAGGGTGGTGCCCAGTACGGCCCCACCCGCCTCCTAGATCAACCGTGGACCCCCAACCGCAGGCGGCGGGGTTCCAGTGCTCACAGGCCTGGGGGTGGGCTGGGAGCGCGGTGGAGGTGGGGGTGGGGGTGGGAGAGGGGGTGGGAGGGGAGGAGGGAGGGGGGAGGAGGGAGGAGAGAGGGGGAAGGGAAGGGAGTGGAGGTAGGAGGGGTAGGGACAAGGCAGGGGGCAGGGGACAGGGGGCCGCTCCGCACCTGCAGGAAGGAGCTCCTCCGCAGCTCGGCGCAGGTGATCCTGCCGGACCAGGACCGGTTCACGGCGTAGAAGATCCGCTGGATGACCTGCGGGGGCGCTGTCAGTGCGGTGGGTGCGCAGAGACCCCCAGGAGCCTCGCCCCGCACGGAGACCGGGAGCCGGGAGAGGGGCGCGCCCTTGGTCTCAGCCGCACGGGGCCGCCAGGGCACAGGCGGGGGCAGAGGGAAGGGCCCTGCGGGAGGCGCCGCCCCAGGCCGCGGAAAGCGGGGAGGGTCTGGCCGGGGACGCCCCGGAGCTACACGGGCCCAGGACAGGTGGGAAGGGGGTGCGGCCACCCCGGAAAACCAGAGTCCCCCCAACACCGGGCTCCCGGGCGGGTGGAGACTCTCCCAGAGCGCGGCCGCCTCCTCCGGAAGCTCAGGAACCCCGGGCCCCGCCCGCCCCGTCCGCAGAAGCCCCGCGGCGGCTGCTGCAGAAACACCCGCGCCCCGCGCTGGAACCGACGGCCCCTCCGCTGGGGACCCACCGTGGTGATGTAGCGCGAGTGGAACTCGGACGCCTCCTTCAGGAACGACAGCCCCGGGTGCGTGTTCACCACGTCCTGCGGGTGGGAAGACACGAGGCGCGTGGTGTAGACGCCGGCCCTCCCGTGAGGTGTGCGGTGTGGACGCTGCAGACGCGGACCCTCCCGTGAGCGATGAGGTGTGCGGTGTAGACGCCGGCCCTCCCGTGAGGGATGAGGCGTATGGTGTAGACGCCGGCCCTCCCGTGAGGGATGAGGCATGTGGTGTAGACGCGGGCCCTCCCGTGAGGTGTGCGGTGTAGACGCGGACCCTCCCGTGAGCGATGAGGTGTGCGGTGTAGACGCGGACCCTCCCATGAGGGATGAGGCATGTGGTGTAGACGCGGGCCCTCCCATGAGGTGTGCGGTGTAGACGCGGACCCTCCCGTGAGGGATGAGGCGTGTGGTGTAGACGCCGGCCCTCCCGTGAAGGATAAGGCCTGTGGTGTAGACGCAGGCTCTCACCTGCAAGAAGGGGACAAAGTCCTCCTGCACCAGGTAGTTGCAGCCGGGGCTCATGAGCAGATGGACGAACTTGGCCGCGTCGTCGTGGCAGTTCTGGAGGATTCTGGAAGGACAGGATGACTGGGCACCACCCTCACAGGGGGGTGGCTTTCGACCCCGCAGACGCAGGGTGGAACACGTGTGTGGTGTTCCACGTGGTGCGTGGCAGGTGGCCACACACGACGGCCAGGCCTGTGCCCGTACAAGGGTTTCTCCTCTCACTGCGGCAGCCTCAGGGGGCACCCGTCCTGGCACCACGGGGACCCGGGGACGCCTCCGCCCTCCCGACACAGCCCCCTGCCCAGCCCAGGACTCACTTTCTCCACATGGCGACGAACTTGTGGACGGACACGGAGCCCGTGCGCTCCCCGCCGGCGCCATAGAAGAGCGGCCCCTTCCAGTAGAGGGGGCAGCCGCAGGCCTGGGGCAGAGAGGGCAGGAGTGGGCAGTCAGCAGGGCCTGGACGCCGGCGCTCCTGCTGCGTACCTCGCGCCTGACCGACGCCGCCCAGAGACCCTCTGCTGCAGAAAGACACAGCACGCTCAGCGCGGCCTGTCCGGGCATCTGCAAACTCAACGTGGCTTTCGCTCCAGCCTTCAATCAGTCATGAGAGCTGAGCGTGGGAGTGCCGGGCACGCAGTATCCCCTGACCACAGACCACGCGTGGGCACTGTAACCAGAGGCGGCTGCATCCCCAGCGTCTGGAAATCACGCGGCACGTACTAAGAACCAGTAAGTACGGGAATAAATGGCCCCGTCAGCCAGGCAACGCGGTGAATCGGACGGCGACAGAAACATCTCATGGAATGTGTGGGACGCACCTACAGCAGCGACCCATGGCAGGTTCACAGCCTTAAATACACGCGTGAGGAAGGAAAGTTTAAAATCGATCGTCTACACTTCTACCCCAAAGGAACAAATACATGGCAGAGATGGAACGCAAAGTAAATAGTAACAGAAAATCAACAAAATCAAAACTCGATGATTTGAAAGATTTCTTAAAAATTAATTAACCCTGGCTGGGCGCGGTGGCTCATGCCTGTAATCCCAGCACTTTAGGAGGCCGAGGGGGGTGGATCACCTGAGGTCAGGAGTTCGAGACCAGCCTGGCCAACATGGTGAAACCTCGTCTCTACTAAAAACACAAAAATTAGCCTGGCGTGGTGGCGGGCGCCTGTAATCCCAGCTACTCGGGAGGCTGAGGCAGGAGAATCACTTGATCCTGGGAGGTGGAGGTTGCAGTAAGCCACGATCACACCACTGCACTCCAGCCTGGGTGACAGAGAGAGACTCTGTCTCAAAAAAAAAAAAAAGAGAGCAAATACAGATTAGCCATGTCAGCTGTAACTACAGATCCTACAAACATCAGATAGTGGATGCTCATGAATCACTTTATGCCTGTAAGTCAGATGACTGCTGAAACAGACTCCCTGATGAACAAGTCAAAAAATAAACTACAATAGAAAATCTGAAAGAGCTGTTTCTGCAAGAAATTGTGTCCATAATTTAAAACTGTCCCACCAAGAAAATTCCAGCCCCCAAAGGCTGCTCCCATGAGTCGACCAAACATTGAAGGAAGAAATCACACATGCGTTCCCCTGGAGAAGAAAAACGAGGGGCGTTTCCCAGTGCCTGTTCCGAGGCTGGCACAGCCTGGACGCGGTCAGGGTCACAGGAAGTCACAGGCCAGTTATCACTGGAGAGCAGAGGCAGAAATCCCACACAGAACACACAGTAGCAAGTCCAACTCGGCAATAATAGAACAGGAATATCTAATAATAATAATAGACCAGGAAACCAGAATCAGGAGGGACACTCTTATTCTCATAAAGGGTGCTATGGCCTGAATGCCTGGGTCCCCAAGATCCACGTGCTGAAATCCTCTCCCCCGAGGCGATGGTGTTGGGAGGTGGGGCCTCATGAATGCGATGAGTCCCCTTCTGAGGGACCCCAGAGAGCTCCCTCACCCCTTCCACCCCGTGAGGACGCAGCGGGAAGGCGCCGTCGATGAACCAGGCACCACTCTGCCACACCGAGATCTTCCAGCCTGCAGACCTGTGAACAGTAAATGTCTTGCTGGTGACAAGCTGCCCGGGCTATGGTGTTTCTTGACAGCAGCCTGAATGCTCAGACAAAGGGCCTCTACGAAACACCCCAGCTGCTCAGACAGCGATGACACATGAACACTTCCTCCCTGTGCTGGGAACAAGAGGACAGTGTCACCACCAAGGCCGCCTGGACGGCCGAGCCAGGGCAGCAGGCAAGGGAAAGACCGAAAGATACGACGACGGGTAAGAAGAGGCAGAACCGTCATGATTCACAAGCAACACACTGTGTAGACAATCCAAATGCTTACCAAATACGGGAATTAATAAGTATCTTCAGCAAAGTTGCTGGATCCAAGGACTATATGCAAAAATAAATTATTTCAATATACTGGCAACAAACAACTAAAAATAAAATCTTCAATAATGCCATCTATCAAGAGCATGAAAAATCAACCTACGAAAAATGGAACAAAAATCACACACAGTGTCTACAAAGCAAACTGCAGGGCACGGCTGGGTGAAATCAAAGACGACCTCAACGTGGTGAGGTGGACCTCACTGCTGAGTTCACAGACTGCAGTTTCCTCCAGACGACTCTGTTGACCCAGAGTCCACGCGATCCCCACCCACAGAGTCCAGCAATCCCCATCCACATGCACCGAGGGCCTGTTGTTTTGGGGTTTGTAGTATACACGGACAGGCTCATGTGAAAACTTACCAGGGAACACAAAAGAACTCACAGGGGGACCAAGTTGGTGGATATGAGTCCCACTGCCCGGTTTCAACCCTTCCTGTAAAGTCAGAGTAATGAAGACTCAGTCAGTCTCTGTCAGGCACCGGTGGCCTAAGAGAGCAAGGGAAGGAAGTGAGTTGGGACAGAGCCCCGTGGAATATCCACAGGCAAAGACACTTCACACAAACTGAATACCAGGGGATCCCAGGCCGAAGGGTGAAAGGCCAAACAGCGGCCCCTCCTGGAAGGAAACGAGGGACGCTGCACGGCTCTGCCGCGGCCAAGGTTTCTTTCACGGGCCACACGTGCGCTCCCTGAAGGAAGGGAGCACCGCTGCACCGCCCCAGCGCAGGACTCAGGGTCAGCTACCGGCACGGTGAACACCATGACAGGACATGACACAGAGGGAGAAATGTCTCTGCAAGGCGAGATTCTGACGAGGGACTCAGAGGCAGAATTTTAAGCATCAGTGAGAAAGAGGCCCGAACACGACCGAGTGGACATGCACTGCCCTCCGGAGAGGGGTGCACGGCGGCCGTAGACAAGGGGAAGCGCCCAGCACTGGCGCCGGCGAGGGCAGGGTTCACGGGGCATGGAGAGGTGGCAACAAGAACATGACACGCGCGGCTGAGACAAAAAGGACTGAAGACGCCAGGTCCCGCGAGGCTGCCAGGCAGCTGGGTGTCCTCCGCGTTGCTGGGGGAACTGGGACGCCACGCAGCTGCCGGGAAAGCGGCCCACGGGGCGGCTGAGCGTAAAGCCCCGTGGCCCGGCCAGGACATCTGTCCTCCCAGAAGCACACCAGTGGGAAGAGGGCCCGTGCCCGTGAGAGCCTGCACGGATGGGGACGTCGGCTGCTTGGTTCACGGTGCCCCAGGCGAGAGGAGCCGGACGCCAGAGCAGGGACTGGAGGAATAAACTGTGGCAGAGTCGTCCTGACAGGTGCAGGGCGGGAGTGACCACGGGGGGGCGTGGGGGACTGCGGAGGGGGCTGCGCGCCACAGCGGGGATTGCAGTGCTGCTATGGGAAAGGACGCGCTCCGGCTGGCGCACCTGTGGATGACTTGAAGGCAGCCGTGTGCGGCTGGAGGGGCCGGGCCCCGCAGGACGCACAGGCACGTGCCGGCTCCCGTGATGAGGATCCTGACGGAGCTCAGCCCTGGCCACCTGGAAGGGCGTCCCGGTGCGGTGGGAGGGAACGAGCCGGGTGCAGCACCGGGTCCTTGGGCTAGTGCTAGTCCCACGTTTTTGACCTCATGAGACCATTCTGGCTCACAGGCCGTGCAGGTTTCAAACCCCAAGCGCTCAACACCCAGGGATGGGGGGATGTGTGAGCCTTCACATCTGTGCTCCTCACCGCGTGCAAGACACACCGTCATGACCCGGTGGCAGGGATGGAGCATCAGATCTATCCAGCCGTGCAGGATATAGCGTCTCATGTGTCCAGACCTGCAGGCTGGAGTGCAGTGTGTGATCACAGCGTGATCCATTTTTATTCTACTTGTTTTTCGAGACACGGTCTTGCTGTTGCCCAGGCTGGAGTGCAGTGTGTGATCACAGCGTGATCCATTTTTATTCTACTTGTTTTTCGAGACACGGTCTTGCTGTTGCCCAGGCTGGAGTGCAGTGTGTGATCACAGCGTGATCCATTTTTATTCTACTTGTTTTTCGAGACACGGTCTTGCTGTTGCCCAGGCTGGAGTGCAGTGTGTGATCACAGCTCAGTGCAGTCTCAACTTCACGGGCTCAAGCAATCCTCCCACCTTAGCCTCCCAAGTAGCTGGGACCACAGGTGCGCGCTATCATGCCTGGGTAATTTTTTTAATTTCTACAGTGAAGTCTCACTATGTTGCCGAGGCTGGTCTGGAACCCTTGGCCGCAAGCCATCCTCCCGCCTTGGCCTCTCAAAGTGCTGGGACTACAGGGATGACACTGCAACCAGAGACAGCTGCACCCCCGGCGTCTGGGGGATGAGAACTGAGCGGGAGAGTGCTGGGCACACAGTCCCCCCACCACACCAAACCCGAAAATTACCTCCAAATGAATTAGCTCATAATTTAAAATAATCCTAAAGTAAATGGAGATAATCAACTCTAAAATGCAAAAGATACAAAGGAAAGCAGTTTTACCTGAATGTCACAAAATCCTTATGGGAAAGGGAATAAAACATCAGATACCCTGATCTGACTTTTAAAAGTCTTTTCGTGATCGACACACAGAAAGACCGACTCCTTGTGGGGCCCGGCAACGCGGCGGCACGCCCACCCGCACGGCCAGGACAGGGAACGAGGCCGCCAGCCCTGACAGTCCCTTCGGCCCCTCCGCAGTCCGCTACGGCGACGGCCCCCAGGCCTCCTCCCCGTGGCTCCAGTTCACCTTTTCCAGGACACGGCAACGGGACCCGGCCATCTGCGGACTTTTAGACCTGGCTTCCCTCGCTCAGCACATGCGTGTGGGACTCACACACCTTGCTCTGTGTGGATCGTCTGCCCACCTTGCTCTGTGTGGATCGTCTGCCTGTGTACTGCTGAACCCTATTCCATTATGGCTCTGCTGACCTCAGAGTAGCTCCCTGAGCAGGAAACACCGCCGGCCCCAAGGCCCACGTGATGGTGCTGCTGAGGGGGACTCGCGAGGCAGACAAAGTCCCGAGCGTCTACAGTCGCACAGGGCACGCCGACACCAACCGACAGGTGTGAGAGGAGAAAGGAGGACGCCACAACCACGGCCGGCAAGTTCAGCACGCGTTCCTCGGCGGGTGACGGGACAAGAGGACGATCTGCAGACACGTAAAGATGTGAAAACGCTGCCAAGCTATGTGAGCGAGTGACATCGCGGAGCCGGAGGAGTCTTCAGGGTCACATGAACCAGTGGTGGGCTGTGGCTCGGAGCCCCCACCCAAGTCTCACGGGGAACTGTGATCCTGAGTGTTGGAGCAGGGCTCTGCTGGGGGGTGACTGGGTGATGAGGGTGGACAGCCCCCTTGCTGGTCTCGTAATCCTGAGTTCTTGTGAGATCCGATGGTCTAAAAGTGGGTGGCAGTGGCCGGGTGCGGTGGCTCAGGCCTGTCATCCCAGCACTTTGAGACGCCAAGGCGGGTGGATCACCCGAGGTCAAGAGTTCGAGACCAGCATGGCCAACATGGTGAAACCCCATCTCTCCTAAAAATACACAAATTAGCCGGGTGTGGTGGCGCATGCCTGTAATCCCAGCTACCCAGGAGGCTGAGGCAGGAGAATGGCTTGAACCCAGGAGGCGGAGGTTGCAGTGAGGTGAGATGGTGCCATTGCACTCCAGCTTGGGTGACAGAGCAAGACTCTGTCTCCAAAAAAAAAAGAGAAAAGATGATACAGACAGCCTGTGTTTATTGAAACAATTCATGCTGTCATTAAAAACCTTCCCACAGAGAAAACTATCCCAAATGGCTTCACTGATGAGTTCTACCAAACATTCAAATAAAAATAACACCCATTCTAAACAAATGGCTCCAGAAAAGTGAATTCTAAAGGACATTTTCCAAGCAACTCTCCGAGGCCAGCATCCCCCCGATGCTAAACCAGACCAAGCTATCACAAGAAAAGGAGACCGCAGGCCAGTCCTTCACGAGCGCAGACGCAACCCCTGCGAGGCCTGGCAATGTGGACCCAACACATAGGAGAAGTGTGACACTGTGTGGTGGACCAGGGACCGGGGGCTGGGGGCTCACCCAAAGACCGGGGGCTCACCCAAAGACCGGGGCTCACCCAAAGACTGGGGCTCACCCAAGGAGCAGGGGCTCGCCCAAAGACCGGGGCTCGCCCAGGGACCGGGGGCTCACCCAAAGACCAGGGCTCACCCAAAGACCGGGGGCTCACCCAAAGACTGGGGCTCGCCCAGGGACCGGGGGCTCACCCAGGGAGCAGGGGCTCACCCAAAGACCAGGGCTCACCCAAAGACCAGGGCTCATCCAAAGACCGGGGCTCACCCAGGGAGCAGGGGCTCGCCCAGGGACCAGGGGCTCACCCAAAGACCGGGGCTCGCCCAAAGACCGGGGCTCACCCAGGGACCAGGGGCTCGCCCAAACACAGGGGGCTCACCCAAAGACTGGGGGCTCACCCAAACACCGGGGGCTCACCCAGGGACTAGGGGCTCACCCAAACACCGGGGGCTCACCCAGGGACCGGGGGCTCACCCAGGGACCGGGGGCTCACCCAAACACTGGGGGCTCACCCAAACACCAGGGGCTCACCCAAACACCGGGGCTGCCTTCACACTCAGACGTCAGTCAGGTCAAGACCAGTCCTTCATGACCACAGACGCTACCCCTGCGTGGCCGGGCAATGCACGCTGCGGTGGAACAGGGACCGGGGGCTCACCCAAGGACCGGGGCTGCCTTCACACTCAGACGTCAGTCAGGTCCATTCACCTTTTACAGGACCAAAGGAAAACCTCACTGCCCTCTCAATACACGCAGAAATACACATTTAGCATCCCGGACAAACTTCAAGGCACTTTTATAATTTTAAAAAGTAAACTGAGGCCAGGCGTGATGGCTCATGCCTGTCATCATCCCAGCACCATGAGAGGCTGAGGCAAGAGGATCCTTCCAGCCCAGGAGTTCCAGACCAGCCTGGGCAACATAGCAGAACCCTGTCTCTACCAAAAAAGAAAAAATCAGCCAGGTGTGGTGGCGGGTGCCAGTAGTCACGGCTACTCGGGAGGGCTGAGGTGGGTGGATCACTGGAGCCCAGGAGGTCGAGGCTGCAGTGAGCTGAGATCATGCCACTGCACTCCAGCCCGGGGGCAGAATGAGAACCTGTCTCAAAAAAAACACAAGAGCTCCCAGCAAACAAGAAACCAAAAGGGAAGGGGCCTCCTGAGTCTGATGAAGGACGCCAGGCAGGGCCGCTGCGTCACGGACGACTTGAGCCCGAGGCGGGAAGGGGCGTGCTCTCCACGGCTCTCCAGCACTGCACTGGCAGGCCGAGCCTGTGTACAGAAAGTCAGGGAGGAGACACCGATGCAGACGAGAAGAGAAAGGCTGAACTGTGCTCACCTGAAGATGACCTGACCGTGCGTTAGAGACTCTGCCGGACTTAAAGGTTGAGCTGGTAGAGCCGATGACTGAGTTAAACTTGGTCAGAAAATGCAAAGTCCACATATAAAACCTAACAGTGCTTCTCAACATTCACAATTGACAATCATATTAAAGTAAAAAAATACCACGTACAGTGTCATCAGAAACAGGAAATGCTTGGGTATCAATGTGATGAACCGTGAACAAGACCAAACTACAAGGCGTACTGAAAGAAGTGAAAGATGCCTGAAATAAGGGAGAGCTGGACCGCGTTCATGAGACGGAAGCCTCAATATGGTCAAGATTCTTCCAAGTTCATCTGGAGTCAACAGGATGCCCATGTAATCCCAGCAGGCTGTCGTAGCAACGGAGGGACCGGCTCTAAAATTCACACGGTGGGAACGAACAACGGTGCAGCCACTCGGGAAGACAGCGTGCAGGTTCCCCAGAAAGCCGGAAGTGGAACTGCACGCGCACACGGAACACCACGCGATCCGGCCCTCCACACACGCACATGGAACACCGTGCTGTATATGCCACAAACGTCTCCGAGTTCTGTGCTCCAAATGGTTACGGTGGTGAATTCTGTTGTGTGAATTTTCCCATAATAAAAAAAAGTGCCTGCTGTCTGATTCTGTTTACATAAAATTCCAGAAAATTCCGGCTAATCTATATTGACAGAAAGGAGGCCTGAGGTAGCGTGGGATGAGGGCAGGTGCGCGTCAGAAAGCAGCAGAGAAAAGTCCAGCGCACGTGCCCGCTCAAGCGCAAGGATGCAGGGACGCCTATTGTCTTGGTGCTGTGGATAGTTTCATGGGTGGGTACAGACGTCAAAGCTCATTGAATTGTACCTTCCACACGCACCATGCATCCCACATCAGTTATATCTCAACACAGCTGCCCCAAAATGAAAAAAAGGCAAACTGATGAGAAAGAAACACGTAAGGTGGTCAACACGTACATCAGGGAAATGAGGAGTGCAGCCAGGACGGGACGCCTGCACACGCACAGAACGGCTAAAGGCAAAGCGTGTGGCCACGTGCCCGCAGGGGTCAACGCTGCTGCCTGGAAATGCGTCACTCAGGGCCACCCCGGAAGCAGGGTTTTTTGTTTTTTGTTTTTTTGCGTAGAGACACAGTCTTGCTCAGTCGCCCAGGCTGGAGTGCAGTGGTGCGATCTTGGCTCACTGCAACCTCCACCTCCCAGGTTCAAGCGATTTTCCTGTCTCAGCCTCCCGAGTAGCTGGAATGACAGGTGCCCGCCACCATACCTGGCTAATTTTTGTATTTTTAGTAGAGATGTGGTTTCATCATGTTGGCCAGGCTGGCCTCGAACTCCTGACCTCAGGTGATCTGCCTACCTCAGCCTCCCGAAGTGCTGGGATTAGTGGAGTGAGCCACCACTCCTGGGCCCTGGAAGCAGTTTTATAGCTTCTTACAAAACTAAACATGTGGCCACCAGATGAGGCAGAGCTCACCTCTGCGGTATTAATCACCTCAGGAAAATGCAAGCATGTCTGCGTAAATCAGTGCACAGACACACAGCAGCTTTACTCACAAGAAGCAAAAACCAAAGCAACCAGACGTCTATCAACCCTGGAACAGGGGAGAGATGGAGCACACACACAGCAGAAGCTACTCAGTGATAGAAAAGAAACTGCCCATACGGCCAGGGACACATAGTGAGCCCCACAGTATCCACACCCTGGCCAGCCACACGGGAGCCCCACGGTAACCACGCCTTGGCCAGCCACACAGCGAGCCCCACAGTATCCACACCCCGCCAGCCACACAGCGAGCCCCACGGTAACCACGCCTTCGCCAGCCACACAGCGAGCCCCACAGTATCCACACCACAGGACTTAATCAGTCCTCAACACACACACATAGCGAAACATCTTGCTGTACCCTGTATACACAAATATTACTTGTCCATTCAAAATAAAATTTAAAATAAAGATGCTGCCAGGAAGAAGTTAGAAACCACAGACAAAATGCTCCAAGAGTCCTCATGTGAAATTCTAAGAGAGGCAAAGCTACAGCGACCGGAAGCACATCTGCAGCTGGCCCGGGCCAGGGAGAAAAGAGGGGAATGATGAGGTGCAAAAGGAGGCACGTGGGACACCCGCGGCAGGTGACAAACGGCCGGTCCTGCCTATGAGGATGGATACCCAGGTGTGTGCTTTACCAAAATGGATCAAATTGTACACTTAAAATTGGTGAATCTTAGGGTGTGTAATTATATGACAATACAGCTGGCCAAACAAAAAACTATTCAATAAACTAAAAAAAATGACAGAAGGAAGTGTATGTAAAAAAGATGACCATAGATATTCATGAGAGAAAGAACTGAAATAATCTGTAACACTGACAGCTGCTTTACTGAAAGAGATATACGTTAGTGTGTAGCATGACGGATCAAGAAAGGAACCGGAAATAAATGATTCTGTCAAGAAAGTGTCTATGTATGATGCAGATACGATCAAGATTTTGTAAATCGTACAAGACAAGGAAAAGCTTTAGAGCAAGAAATTTCTAAGTTACGCAAAAAATTTTTAGAAAAAATGTAAATCATCAAAATAGTCTCCATAAATGAAAACCCTGAATTAGCCAACAACGTTTGAAGGAAATTAACAAAGAGAAAAGTGTGTTTTCCTGTGGGGGCAGCTGAGGGGGTGGAGTTTGGTGGAGGTGAAGGAGCTGATGACTCTGTCTCAAACGGCTTCAGAGAAAACACAGAGGAGTGACAATGATGAAAGGGAGGAAATGATGTATGAGATCAGCCCTGACTCACACAGACAGGAAGAACCGGGCCAGGAGAAGGCACACACGGACCTCGCTGCACGGCCACGGCTAAGATCCACGGGGGGACCCCCCTCATCAAACTCAAAGTCCCCTCAGACGTGAGTTCTCAAGCAGCCGCCGGCCAAAGTCCACCCGCCTGACAACACGCGTGTGGAGCTGTGACTCCAGGCCCTCATTCAGTCACTCACGCGACGGGGAGAACTCGAAACGGCAGTGACACCCCTACTCGTTCGTCCCCTGGGCCGGGGGCCCGGCTCACAGAAAACCGTCCCAAAGGCACACGATGGAGACGTGGACGGACATCTGCAGGTGGCGGCGAGCTGGGCGCCACCGAGACAGGCTCAGCAGCCTTGGCGGGGAAGCTGAAGTTTGCCTGCGGCCCCCACACACGCGGGACGCTCACAGGGTTCTGCCGCCACAGCGCAGGTGGATTAAGTCGCGACAGCGCACACCCTGCTGGCCTCTGCCCACAGTCACGGTGGGTGCTCGAGCACCATGCTCTCCGCCTGCAGGGCCGGGTCGGTGCGTGCAGGCACAGTGGGGCCTGTGGAGGTGTCTCTCGGACTCCCAGCGGTGCAGACGCTGCAAGCGACACAACTTCAGTCTCAGAGCTCTCCCCTGCCCCGCTGGGTCACACCCAGGTCACCCTGCTTCTCTGGGGCGTCGAAGACAACGACAAAACTTGCTTTTTACCACCAAACGTGACATCCAGCCAACGGACCAGGTTCTTTCAAGTCTTAAAGCCTCACTACCTTAGACGGCCACCAAGGCCAGTGCCGCTGTGCGTGGAAGCGAGGTGACACCGAGAACTGAGTCCTGGAAGGAAAATGACATGAAACGCGCACATGAGAACCAGGCGCCGAGGCGGGGAAGCACCGCGGAGGGGGGGTGGCCGCTGTGGGGGGCGGCACCACGGTGGGGGGAGGCGCCGTTGGGGAGAAGCACCGTGGGGATGAAGCACCGCGTGGGGAGGGGCGCTGTGGCGGGGAAGCACCGTGGGGACGGGCGCCCTGGCGGGGAAGCACCGCGGCGGGGGTAGGGGAGGGCGGGGCGGCGCCCTGGCGGGGAAGCACCGCGGCCGGGGAGGGGCATCGTGGCGGGGAAGCACTGAGGGGAATACATGGGTCCCATGCAGGAACCTCACTGGGCTGCGCGAGCGGCTTTGTAGGACCCGAAGCGGACGCAGCGCGTGAGCTGCAAAAGAGGTGTCTGACCCAGCCCGAGGCGCGCAGAGACCCTGTGGGTGGGGCCGGGCGCACTCCGCGAGGGTGAGTTCTCCACACAACGGAGGCTGTACTGAAAAGGATGAAGGTGTCCCAGCAGACGGAATGCCAGCAAAGAGACCTCCCAGTGAAGGAACTCTCAGAGATACCCCACAACTTCAAGAGCACCAAGGATAAAACGCGGAAGCTGAGCAAGGCGTGTTAAGTCGAGTGAGTCTGCCAGGGCACGGAGCAGGTGCTCACTCCACACGGGACAAGGAGATGGCACTGCTGTAACTACTTTTGGCAAGTTTTTACTGAGAGATGAAACAATTCTTAATGCTTCTGGTGTTTTAAGTTACAGCATACTAGGTAAATATTAGTTCTTTTCATTCACTACATGTTTGCAACCGACTGTAAGAAAGTTTCTAATATTTCAACAAAAATGATTATAGAATGATCCTAATTTTTACTGGAAGATGGTTTTGCATGGTTGTGACTTATCTGGTCCTTTCATGGCCCCACACTGCCGTACAAGACAGGGACACCTCTACAAATACGGAGTGACTTAGCAAAAACAAATATGCAAGTGTACAACAGCATGCTAATTTTTCTCTAAGAAATGCAAGAAGTATGTATGTTCATACTCATACACATATTTGTACATAATTGCTCATATTAAAAGCTAAAATAACAATAAGAGGATAAACCAAAGCTATGGAAACTATTACCTCTGGGGTAGAAACAGCACAGACAGGGACAGAACCTGGACTTACCTGAATGTGTCTAGTTTGTTAGTGCTCACTTTGTAACCATGGAGGTTTTTACATATTTATAAAACAAAACTTTTTAAAATACTTTAAAAACACAATCCCTAATAGAAAAAGGGCGGGGACACTTAATGTGTTCTTTCAGACCCGTATTGCCCTAAAACCAAAACCAGACAAAGGACTCACAAGAAAACTACCAAGCACTGTCTTCTCTGTGAATCCAGTTGCAAAATTATTGGAATCCAGCAACATATAAAAAAGATGAGACACAGCGACCATGCGGAATTTATCCCAGGAATGCAAGGTTGGTTTAACATCCCAAAACCAACTCATTTAATAGACTGTATTAATAAGTTAAAAAAACAAAACCCGGCCAGGTGCAGTGGCTCATGCCTGTAATCCCAGCACTTTGGGAGGCCGAGGCAGGCGGATCACTTGAAGTCAGGAGTTCAAGACCAGCCTGGCCAATATGGTGAAACCCCATGTCTACTAAAAATATAAAAATTAGCCAGGCATGGTGGTGCATGCCTATAGTCCCAGCTACTTGGGAGGCTGAGGCAGGAGAATCACTTGAACCCAGAAGGTGGAGGTTGCAGTGAGCCGAGATTACACCACTGCACTCCAGCCTGGGTGACAGAGCAAGACTTTGTCTCAAACAAGCAAACCCAAAAAACAAAAACCTGCTCACTCCCGAGGACCCCCTTCACAGCTGCAGAGCTGGAGAGGGCTGGGGGGCAGGGGTCTCACCGTGAGGGGCTCACATGTACCGTGCACCGAGGCTCTGGGGCTCTGACTTGGAGGGGTGGGAGCATCCACTGGCCAGCGACTCCACCTGGAGGGTAGGAGGCTGGAGATGCGGGCACAGGTCCCTGGAAACACAACCACCCACCAGGGGTCCAGACACGCATCTCTGGTGTAGGCCTTGCCTTGGTAACGGACAGACACTAAACTGAGTGTGCTCCATCTGTGGGCGTCCAGGCGGTCAGCCTGGAGAGCATGCAGCTGAGAAGGAAAGCAGGCGGCGAATGATGCACGCCGCGCCGCAGCACTCAGGGTGAGTCTAGAAATGGGCCCATGGGGCTGCTGCCAGGAGACGGGTCCACAGCTGCCCAGCCTGGGATGGCCGCTCCTCGGGCAGAAAGGGGCAAGGCCAGGAGGGTGCAGAACGGCCTCCGAGAGCCACGAGAGCTGGCGCCACTGGCCCCGGAGGGGAGAGAAGGGGAGGGTGGCACAGGGCGGGCCTGCGCTCTTCACAGCATCAGGATGAGAATGCAGACGGAATTCCCACTCGCATTTCAGATGCTTAAGAATTCACACAGCAGCAACCAGACAGCAAACCTCAGACCACAACTATAACCTCAGAGAAAACCTGGGCCGCTCCCGCACACGTGTGAAACGCACCCTCCTCGGCCGTGCCGCCTCACTCACGCTCGTGTGACACGCACCCACCACGGCCGCTCCGCCTCACCCTCACATGCCCGCAGTACCACCTCGGCTGCTCCACGTCCCACGCGTGACACGTACCTTGGCCACCAGGCCCATGTCATCCATGGTGGCCCTCTCGTGGGGGAACCGGGCGAAGGTGCTCTCGATCTTGCTGATGACGGCATCCACGTTGACGGAGTCCTGCGGGCGTCCTCTGGGGAAGTAGAAGGTCGGAATGCTTTGGCTCGTGGCCGGGGGCAGAGGCTCTTCTTTCCGTGTCTGAACCTGAAGAGTCGACAGACAGCGCTCAGTTAGAACCTGGGAGCATCGAACGCCTTCTTCACCCGGACAACACACGGGGCCTCTCTAGGGCCGACAGTGCTGAGGCCACCTGATCCCAGCCGGGAGAGGACACACTGCAATCCCTGCGGGGGACCACACACGTACTCCACTGCAGGGCCCACCTTCACCCAGGAGGCCACACCATGCTGCCATGGACCCCACTCTGGGTGGCGGCTCTGCGCCACTGAGCCCCCATCACACCGAGCAGGGCCCTGGGGACAAGGGCAGCTACGTGCCCCAGGCACCTGAGAGCCCAGCCAGGACCCACTCCCGATTCCCATGAGCCACACCACTGACCCCACCACACCTGGCAGGGACCTGGGGAAAAGGGCAGCCACGCACCCCAGACGCCTGAGAGCTCAGACGTGGAGAGGCACAGGTGCCGTCCACAGGCAACCCTGTCCCTGGAGCCCGGAAGACTCACATTCTGAGAGGCAGAGGCAGGGCAGGCAACCACACAGCCAGGAGAAGGGGTCGACCACCAGGTACTGCTGCGGACACGCCTCAGCCCCTCACCCGGTGCACAGCCCACGCCCACGGGCTCTTGGCCCCACTCAGCACCAGCACTCTCCTCACCCAGTATATCTGCAGGCCCCAGAACACTCACTCAAGAGTCTCCTGCTTGCATCTCTACACAACCTGCGAGGTGGACATTTGATCTCATCCCGTGATGTTAAAACACCATCTGAAACAGTTAACAGCATCAGCAACCGTACTGCGTCCTCCTCCATCAACTGCCCAAGGGACGGTGCTGCGTCCTCCCCCACCATCAACTACTGAAGGGACGGGGCTGCGTCCTCCTCCTCCTCCAACTACCCAGGGAACGGGGCTGTGTCCTTCCCCATCAACTACTCGGGACGAGGCTTCGTCCTCCCCCATCAACTACTCAGGGGACAGGGCTGTGTCCTCCTTGACCAACTACCTAGGGAATGGGGCTGCGTCCTCCTCCTCCTCCATCAACTACTCAGGGGACGGGGCTGTGTCCTCCTCAACCAACTGCCATGGAGGAGGGGTCCAGGGAGGAAGTCCGCATACCAGTGGACCACAGCTCAGGGCCTTTGCACCCACAATCCTGACTGCCTGGATCAATCCAGGACTGGGTCCAAGCTCCAGTGTCCACACAGAGAAAACAGCCCGCCCTGCTACTCCCACAGGACCCTCACCCCAGGTCACAAGGGTCCCACAGACAGCACCCCAACTGTCCCCACCCTGCTACTGCCACAGTATCCTCACCGCAGGTCACAAGGGTCCCACAGCGCCCCAACTGTCCCCACCCTGCTACTCCCACAGGACCCTCACCCCAGGTCACAAGGGTCCCACTGACAGCGCCTCAACTGTGCCCACCCTGCTGTCGCTGCAGGACCCTCACCCACGGTGAGACTCAGTTGTTTTTCTCTGATCCCCATGTAGGAGGAACAGAGGCCGCCTCCGTGACCTGGGGCAGAGCAGGCTTCCCGCAGTAGCTGCCGACTGAGTGCTCCTTCAGCACAGCTTTACCTAAGGGCACACCCCTTCCCTGTGATTCAGAACGTGACCTCTGTGTCCTGGGGCAGGAGGTCCCTGCATCTCCCCGAGCCCGCGATCCCACAGTGCATCTCCCCGAGCCCATGATCCCGCAGTGCATCTCCCCGAGCCCACGATCCCGCAGTGCATCTCCCCGAGCCCACCATCCCACAGTGCATCTCCCCGAGCCCACCATCCCGCAGTGCATCTCTCCGAGCCCACCATCCCACAGTGCATCTCCCCGAGCCCGCAATCCCACAGTGCATCTCCCCGAGCCCGCGATCCCACAATGCATCTCCCCGAGCCCACCATCCCACAATGCATCTCCCCGAGCCCAGCATCCCACAATGCATCTCCCCGAGCCCGCGATCCCGCAGTGCATCTCCCCGAGCCCGCGATCCCGCAGTGCATCTCCATGAGTCCACGATCCCACAATGCATCTCCCCGTGCCCGCAATCCCACAATGCATCTCCCCGAGCCCACCATCCCACAGTCATCTCCCTGTGCCCACCATCCCACAATGCATCTCCCCAAGCCCGCGATCCCACAGTGCATCTTCCCGAGCCCACAACGCATTCCCGCAGCGGCGCCTTCCCGTCTCTCGCTGTGGGGGTCCCACTGTGGAGCCTGCGGCTCTTCCTCCTTCATCACGCTGGGTTCACACAGCTCTGCTATTTGGGGTACGGAACTGACCCCGCGAATATTCTGCAGTGAGCTCTCGGGCTCCTGTGTTTGGCAATATAGCAATGACCTGGGTACACAAACCAACCTTCCTGATGAAAACTGCCAAGAACCCTGGACAGAATAGTTGACAAACGTCTTCTAGACGGCGCCCACAGGCTGGCAGGAAAGGAGGACACCTCAGGCCACAGCTGCCTGGAAGGAAGAACCCGGGGAAGCCCGTGGAGCCTGAACAGGCTCTGCCTTCAGAAGCGTGGGCCGAGCGGGCTCACCCGAAATCTCTCACAGCCTTGCAGAGCTCTGGGGAAGAGGAGGCAAAACGCAGGGTCCTCCGGGGAAGCTCCCAGAACGCGTCACCTTCAGTGGGAAGAATGAGCTCCAAGTAAATCCCCAGCGCGCCTCCGGCCCCAGGAATGAAAGTAGCAGCCTTCACCTGGAGCTGCTGGTACGAGCTGGGCAGGGGGGAGTTCTCCCCCGAGAACTGACGGCTACAGCCGACTCTCCTGCAGGTTTGCAAACCAAACTCACGGTCACCAGGATGCTGCGAAAACCCTCAAACCGGCCGGGCTCGTGCCTGCAATCCTGGCGCTTTGAAAGGAGGCTGAGGGGGACAGACTGTCTGAGCTGAGGAGTTCAAGACCAGCCTGGGCAACATGGCAAAACTTCATCTCTACTAAAAAAAAAAAAAACAAAAAAAAAAAAACAGAAAACAAAAAACAAAAAGAGTATAAAAAAAATTAGCCGGGTGTGGTGGAGGGTGCCTGTACTCCCAGCTACTCGGGAGGCTGAGGCAGGAGAATCGCTTCAACACAGGAGGCGGAGGTTGCAGTGAGCTGAGATCGCACCACTGCACTCCAGCCTGGGCGACAGAGTGAGACTCTGTCTCAAAACAAAACAAACGATTAACCAGGTGTGGTGGCGCATGCCTGTACTCCCAGCTACTCGGGAGGCTGAGGCAGGAGAATCGCTTCAACACAGGAGGCGGAGGTTGCAGTGAGCTGAGATCGCACCACTGCACTCCAGCCTGGGCGACAGAGTGAGACTCTGTCTCAAAACAAAACAAACGATTAACCAGGTGTGGTGGCGCATGCCTGTAATCCCAGCTACTGGAGAGGCTGAGGCAGGAGAATCGCTTCAACACAGGAGGCGGAGGTTGCAGTGAGCTGAGATCGCACCACTGCACTCCAGCCTGGGCGACAGAGTGAGACTCTGTCTCAAAACAAAACAAACGATTAACCAGGTGTGGTGGCGCATGCCTGTAATCCCAGCTACTTGAGAGGCTGAGGCAGGAGAATCGCTTCAACACAGGAGGCGGAGGTTGCAGTGAGCTGAGATCGCACTACTGCACTCCAGCCTGGGCGACAGAGTGAGACTCTGTCTCAAAACAAAACAAACGATTAACCAGGTGTGGTGGCGCATGCCTGTACTCCCAGCTACTCGAGAGGCTGAGGCAGGAGAATCGCTTCAACACAGGAGGCGGAGGGTGCAGTGAGCTGAGATCGCACCACTGCACTCCAGCCTGGGCGACAGAGTGAGACTCTGTCTCAAAACAAAACAAACGATTAACCAGGTGTGGTGGCGCATGCCTGTACTCCCAGCTACTCGAGAGGCTGAGGCAGGAGAATCGCTTCAACACAGGAGGCGGAGGTTGCAGTGAGCTGAGATCGCACTACTGCACTCCAGCCTGGGCGACAGAGTGAGACTCTGTCTCAAAACAAAACAAACGATTAACCAGGTGTGGTGGCGCATGCCTGTAATCCCAGCTACTCGGGAGGCTGAGGCAGGAGAATCGCTTCAACACAGGAGGCGGAGGTTGCAGTGAGCTGAGATCGCACTACTGCACTCCAGCCTGGGCGACAGAGTGAGACTCTGTCTCAAAACAAAACAAACGATTAACCAGGTGTGGTGGCGCATGCCTGTAATCCCAGCTACTGGAGAGGCTGAGGCAGGAGAATCGCTTCAACACAGGAGGCGGAGGTTGCAGTGAGCTGAGATCGCACCACTGCACTCCAGCCTGGGCGACAGAGTGAGACTCTGTCTCAAAACAAAACAAACGATTAACCAGGTGTGGTGGCGCATGCCTGTAATCCCAGCTACTCGGGAGGCTGAGGCAGGAGAATCGCTTCAACACAGGAGGCGGAGGTTGCAGTGAGCTGAGATCGCACCACTGCACTCCAGCCTGGGCGACAGAGTGAGACTCTGTCTCAAAACAAAACAAACGATTAACCAGGTGTGGTGGCACATGCCTGTAATCCCAGCTACTTGAGAGGCTGAGGCAGGAGAATCGCTTCAACACAGGAGGCAGAGGTTGCAGTGAGCTGAGATCGCACTACTGCACTCCAGCCTGGGCGACAGAGTGAGACTCTGTCTCAAAACAAAACAAACGATTAACCAGGTGTGGTGGCGCATGCCTGTACTCCCAGCTACTCGAGAGGCTGAGGCAGGAGAATCGCTTCAACACAGGAGGCGGAGGGTGCAGTGAGCTGAGATCGCACTACTGCACTCCAGCCTGGGCGACAGAGTGAGACTCTGTCTCAAAACAAAACAAACGATTAACCAGGTGTGGTGGAGGGTGCCTGTACTCCCAGCTACTCGAGAGGCTGAGGCAGGAGAATCGCTTCAACACAGGAGGCGGAGGGTGCAGTGAGCTGAGATCGCACTACTGCACTCCAGCCTGGGCGACAGAGTGAGACTCTGTCTCAAAACAAAACAAACGATTAACCAGGTGTGGTGGAGGGTGCCTGTACTCCCAGCTACTCGGGAGGCTGAGGCAGGAGAATCGCTTCAACACAGGAGGCAGAGGTTGCAGTGAGCTGAGATCGCACCACTGCACTCCAGCCTGGGCGACAGAGTGAGACTCTGTCTCAAAACAAAACAAACGATTAACCAGGTGTGGTGGCGCATGCCTGTAATCCCAGCTACTTGAGAGGCTGAGGCAGGAGAATCGCTTCAACACAGGAGGCAGAGGTTGCAGTGAGCTGAGATCGCACTACTGCACTCCAGCCTGGGCGACAGAGTGAGACTCTGTCTCAAAACAAAACAAACGATTAACCAGGTGTGGTGGCGCATGCCTGTAATCCCAGCTACTTGAGAGGCTGAGGCAGGAGAATCGCTTAAACCCGGGAGGCGGAGGGTGCGGTGAGCTGAGGTCGCACCACTGTCCTCCAGCCTGGGTGACAGAGTGAGACTCTGTCTCAAAAAAAAAAAAGTGAGATGAATACTTGGACATTTTTAGCCCCAAATTTACAGAGCATGCACCCCATTAACAGACACTCTACGGGGCAAAAGCTGAGGAAATGCAGCAGGGAGAAGCCAAGAGCTCCCAAAGGGAAGGTTGGAATTGAAAGAAGGGATGAAGAGCAGGTCAGCGGTAATGAGTGGGAAAACCTCGGCAGCTGACCACATAAATCAGTGATAACAATGTATGTTCAATTTAAAAAACATAAATCAGTGAAAACAACGTATGTTCAATTAAAAAAAAAAAGTCAATACAACAGCCTGTCAGTGACATGCTGACTGGATGAGTGTGAGACGGTTTGTGAGTTGGAGGAAAAGATACTGATTAATATTGGGCTTTGAAAAATTTAGTCGACGTTCCTTTTTTTTTTCTTTATAGAGACGGGGTCTCGCTATGTTGTGCTGGCTGGTCTTGAACTCCTGGCCTCCAGCGATTCTCCTGCCTCAGCCTCCCAAGGCGCTGGGATCACAGGTGTGAGGCCCCGTGCCCGGCCAGCCATTGACATTTGTAGGATAAACAGTGAGCTAGTAGGAAGCGTGTACTCCAAACGAGAGAAAAGGCGACCAAGCTGAAAAAGAGCAGGAGACAGAGGTGCAGGATGAGACGGTCACAGTCCATCACACGGATGAGCAGGCAACATCGACCTCAATGCACCGAGTGCTCTAGTTACAAGACAAAGGTCTGACTGCAGAAAGAAAACAGCATTCACGTACATGGGAGACACAGAGGACAGAAAGACAGGAGATATATGTGACTTAAGGACCCAGAGGCTACACATTTTTTTTTGAGATGGAAAAAGAGCAGGCAGACAGTAGAGAAAGCTGGTGTCGCTGTATTAACATCCATGAAGTGACACAAGGTGATGGACAGACCTGGAGACAGACAGGCCACCAAGGAACGCTGAAGAGGTCAGTCAGGGGAAGACAGGCTGATGCTAACTTTATCCATGCCTGACAACGCAGCCTCGGCACTGATCAAGTAAACACCACTGGACACAAACTGAGCCCGCTAGGCAAGGCGGAGCCCACCCACCCCGGGCACAGACACAGGGAAGGCCGGGACCACCCACCCTGGGCACAGACACGGGGAAGGCCGGGACCACCCACCTTGGGCACTGACGGGGGGAAGGCCGGGATCACCCACCCCGGGCACTGACGGGGGGAAGGCCGGGACCACCCACCCCGGGCACAGACACGGGGAAGGCCGGGACCACCCACCTTGGGCACCGACGGGGGGAAGGCCGGGACCACCCACCTTGGGCACCGACACGGGGAAGGCCGGGACCACCCACCCCGGGCACCGACGGGGGGAAGGCCGGGACCACCCACCTTGGGCACCGACACGGGGAAGGCCGGGACCACCCACCCCGGGCACTGACGGGGGGGAAGGCCGGGACCACCCACCCCGGGCACCGACGGGGGGAAGGCCGGGACCACCCACCTTGGGCACCGACGGGGGGAAGGACGGGACCACCCACCCCGGGCACCGACGGGGGGAAGGCCGGGACCACCCACCCCGGGCACCGACCGGGGGAAGGCCGGGACCACCCACCCTGGGCACCGACGGGGGGAAGGCCGGGACCACCCACCCTGGGCACCGACCGGGGGAAGGCCGGGACCACCCACCCTGGGCACCGACGGGGGGAAGGCCGGGACCACCCACCTTGGGCACCGACGGGGGGAAGGCCGGGACCACCCACCTTGGGCACCGACACGGGGAAGGCCGGGACCACCCACCCCGGGCACTGACGGGGGGAAGGCCGGGACCACCCACCTTGGGCACCGACCGGGGGAAGGCCAGGACCACCCACCCTGGGCACCGACGGGGGGAAAGCCGGGACCACCCACCATGGGCACTAATAGACGAGAGATGGAACAAACAACACAACCACCCCATGCGGGCACAGAAGATTTACAAGCTTAATCTCATGGACAGAAATAGACTCGGCCCCAGCACAGCTGCAGAGCACACATTCTTTTCAACACACACAGCTCACTTGGGAACTGGCCACCTCTCGGGCTGAGCTGCAGGTCTCAGGGGGTTCTGAAGGAATCACAGGGACTGCTGCCCTGCCCCAAACGTAGCCGGTGAGGCCAGGCATCTACGGTAAACACAGAAGGAGCAAAAACAGCTGCATGTATGTGGAAGAAGAATTCTAAAGCCAGCCGCCTGTTCATTAAAAAGTTCAGACAAACCAGAGGGGCCTGTGGCGGCCAGGTCATCCACTTTAAATCCTCCTCAGTACGTGTACTTTAAAAAGAACTTCGTAAAGAGCCCGTCACCCAAAGCGCACTGATAAAGGCGACACCCTGACTCCCAACAAGCTATTTCTGTTGAGGGCACTGAGAAGGCAGCTCCCTGACTCATCACAATTCCAGAAGTCACAGATACATGTGTCGCCCTTCCAGAGTACACCCACAGTTTTGCAAAACACGTCCATATACGACCAAAAACAAAGGCTGAGCCTAACACTGAGGCTGCCTGTTTTTGCGTAGAAGTGCGTGCGCTTGATGGGTGCAGGTGAGTGTACCCCGAGAACACAGGCCACGTGCACCGTGACACATCCTCTCGCGACACCAGCCTCGGGCAGACCCCCGCATGTGCAGAGGGTGCGCACAGCAGGCAGGGCGCGGTGACCAGCAGAAATGACCCTCGCCCCCACGGCAGCAGGACCGGACACCACGATCAAAGCCACAGAGGAGGTGCCGGAGCAGCAGGGGGCCGGCGGAAGGGACGCTCAGTACGGGCTGCAACGCACAGCCGTGCCCCCAGGAGCCCCCGCTCTGCAGCGGCCCCCACTCTGCAGCGGGAGGCGGAAGCACGGGAGGCTGTGGTATGGAATCAGGGACGGGGGGTTTGGCCGGGACGCACACTCATGGATTCCAGCTGAGCCCCTCGCCCACCCAGATGACGGCCACCCCCTGGAAGGCAGGGCCTGCTGCAAGCTCTGAGCATTCTTCTCGGCCCAGCACTTGACTCCCAGGGACCCTCTGAGAGGGCTGGTAGAGGGCTGCCAGCTACACCTGCAAACCGCACGCTGGACGGCTAAACACAGGAGTCAAAAAGGTCGGTGTTTACACAGAGGAGCCGAACACGGAGATGAGAGGCCCCACGTGTGGGTTTAAAAATCCCCTCTCTAGCAAAGAGGGAGAACTGGTGTGGAGGGGTCAACACAGAAACGCAGCAGGTGCAGGTGTCTGAGTAGGCCAGAGCTCACGTGGGCTAACATTCACTCAGACACATGACTGCAGCCGAGCAACCGGGCCTCAACGGACGCTGAGAGACGTCGGCTGGGGCCTGCACCCACACCTGCAGCCCAGGCACTGGCGCCTGCAGCCACGGCTGCAGCGAGGCGTGAGTCTCCACAGAGCTCGGAAGGCTGGGCTGGGGGACGTGGGGATCATTCTGTCCACCAGCCAAGGGGTGACGGTGGATGCCGCGCAACACAGCGAGGGGAGGATCCGGCACCCTCCCTGCGTCCACAAGCCCCTGGCGGATGCTCCTGAGCTTGGTCTTCTGTGTGGACGTTCCCACCCGGGCTTCTGTTTCCCGTTAACCCCCCTTGCTGCAGCTCCCTGCCAGGTGGGGAACCCAAGCCCTGCCTTCTCCCTGCCACTGCCCAGGGAGTGGCATCCTGGGCAGCGTCCTGGCCAAACCAAAGGCTGCAAGGGTTTTGGTGACCACTGGCCTTGGGAGGGGAACGGCACGTGCCCTGGCGGTGAGAGCAGGAGGTGCGTCAGGGACGCCCAGAGCCCAGGCTGTCACCACGCTGAAGTCAGTTCCAAGTACAGCGGGGCTGCCGCGTAGGGGACGGCGCTTTCAGCCATGCGTGGTGCCGTGTAGGGTCTGTGCGTCCACCCGAAGGACCCCGTGGGGACGCCGGACAGTGTCTGTGTGACCAGGACAGGTGAAGAGGGGCGTCTGTGTGCTGAGTCAGTGTGTGGGGAGCGGGAGAGTCACTCCCCAGGCGGGGAGGGCCAGGCTAGGCAGCACAGCTGTCCTGGGCTGGGAACAAGGTCTGAGCTGTCCTGCTGTTGCCCGGGGACAGAAGGCCCGAGAATCCCTGGGCAGGAGGCGCAGGCAGTGGCTCCGGCAAGAAGAGCTCAGCCAAGCAGCTGCACGGCCCCACTCCAGGTACATGCTGGGTCCTACAGTGAGAGCATGAGCCGTGTAACACGCCATCGTCACACGGGAGCCTCCCCGGACCCACGGTGAGAGTACGTGTAACACGCCATCGTCACACGGGAGCCTCCCCGGACCCACGGCGTGAACGCATGCTGTTCCGTTCCCAAGGCCGGCGGTCGCTGAACGCCCCCACCCCCCGAGTTTGGTTTGTCAAGGATGCCGGTGACAGGGAAGTGGGCAGTGGCAGGGAGGAGGAGGAGCTTGGGTTCACCATCGGGGCAGGCAGCACCCGCCAGGGGGTTAGTGGGAACAGAAGCCCAGGTGGGACGTCGCACAGTCAGAAGATCAAGCTCAGGAGCACCCGCCAGGGGCTCGTGGGTGCGGCCAACGTTGGCCGTGGAAGGCTGTGCCCGTCAGAGGACCCCTGAAAACAGTACCGTGCTGCCCGGCCGGGAGCGTCCGAAGGCGGAGGTGCGGCACCCCAACACGTCCAGTGGCTCCAACACGGGTGCTCCCTGACAACCCTGAGGGTGTGTCCAAGTGGGGTGGACCCAACAGACAGAGCCCACACTCATGCGCGGAGTGAAAGCAGCCAGGAAACGTCCCCTTCTCCCCCAACACCACCCCCACAAATACCCCCAAATATGCCTGTAATTCCTCCACCACCCCTCAGACAACATGCATTTCACACGTCTGTCCTCACTCCCTAAAAACGTGGAAACCTATTTTCTGTAAAATGAAGCAAACTTCTGTAAACGGAATTCATGATTTCCCAGAAACTGACTTTTTAAAAATAAACAGTCCTCACAGGTGCATCGTCACCACAGCCCCCCACAGAAGAGCCAGGGCCCCACTGCAGGGCTGAAGGGCTTCCTCATCCAGCCACGTGCGAGCTAATCACCTCATTGACTCTGCGACCAGCGAGCCCGCACCGCCCAGCACCTCCCACCATCTAGAGCAAATCCCGCACGAGGCTGATCTCGCTCTTCGCAGGTTAAGAGGATTTTAAAGACACCAGCCTCGCCCTTACCCACTTACAGGCAAAATGTCAAAACCTGGAAGACAGAGGTCAAAAACTCCGAAGGAGTGCAAAAGTTGATGTGAGATCTTACAGAAAAAATTTCAATTAAAATATCAACAGAAAGAAGTGGGTCTTCCTCCCCCTTCAAGCAGGATGCCTTGGTTCACCTTGATGTTAGGCCACTAGTTCCAGACTCCTGGAACTGAGTTTGAAAAGCGCGTCTGATGTGCCACGTGGGTGTGAGGCGCCCGCCACGCACACCCTGTCTGGATGAAATTCGGATCAGATTCGGCCGCAGCCAAACCCTAAATTCTCAAATTATACTGGGATTGTCACAGGAAGACTCTTACACGTTTAAATCACATGGTACTCGTAAAACTAACTCATACAATATACACGGGGTACAGACACAAATTTTACTTCCCTGAGCACTTATGAGAACTGAGATTAAATTTCAAAGCCAGCTGGGGTGGAGGCTCACGCCCCTACTCCCAGCACTTTGGAAGGCCCAGGTGGGCGATCACCTGAGGTCAGGAGTTCAAGACCAGCCTGGCCAACATGGTGAAACCCCGTCCCTACTAAAAATGCAAAAATTAGCCCTACTCGGGAGGCTGAAGCAGGAAAATCACTTGAACCCAGGAGGTGGAGGTTGCAGTGAGCCGAGATAGCGCCGCTGCACTCCAGCCTGGGAAACAGAGAGGCTTCGTCTCAAATAAATAAATATAAATAAATAAATTTCAAAGCCACTGAGTTACTGAATAAAACCACGCTGCATAAATAGTCCGGTATGTGAGTGATATCTCAACCGACTCTTAAGTTAGCCAGTGGGAAGGAATGCTGGGTATTGCAATAACGCCGGGAAAGTTTCACCCACCCGACGCCTTTACGAAGGGTGAAGGAGTTTCCCGATGTTTATTACCAGCAATGCAAGGTATATTTAAATTAAAAATCTGTCTGCAGCGAACACTCCCAGGCGCTGACGGCTCTCACCCGCCTTGGTTGATCACAGCAAGGCGCGCACTCACAGCCAAAACTCCCGGGAAAGGAGCGAGTGCTCTTTTCAAAGCCCGGTTTTCCTAACAAGCTTGGCACCGCTTCCCACAGAGCAGCACCCGGTTTTCGGCGGCGTGCGGCCCGAGCGGGTCCCCTGCGCCCACAACTGGCCCTGTAAATCTGGCGTTTGGGCCCCGCCACGCAACAACGGGTGCACGGCCAGCAGCGGCGAGCGGGGGCCCACGCGGGGCCGGGAGGGCAGGGCTCGCCGGGCCGGGAGGCCTCGCCCGGTGTCGGGCAGCCGCGGGGCGCGCGGGGCTGACCTGCTGGAAGGCCTTCAGCCGCTTCTTGAACCGAGAGGGCAGCACGAAGTCGCAGCCGCGGGCCAGTGAGGCCAGCTCCTGGCGCAGGTCGGGGTCCTGGCGCAGCGAGCGCTCGCGGAGTCGCATGCCGCCGGCGCGCAGGGCTCTCCGCGGGCCGGGCCGGGCGCCGCGCTCTCGGGGCAGGGCCGGGCCGGGGCCGGCGGGGCGCTGCAGGCGTGGCCCGGGCTCAGCGCGCTCCATGCGTCGCCCGCCAGGCGCTCTGGGGCCGGGGCCCGCGCCGCGCGCATTCCTCAGGCTGAGGAGGGCGCATGGCGCCGGGGGTGGGGGCGGCCGCCTCTCCCGACCCGCGACTGTGCAGACCCGGCTGCTCCCGGCGCTGCTCTCCTCTCCTCCTTCTCCGCTCCCTGCACTGCCCTCCGCTCCCTCCGGTCCTCTTCTCTCCTCTCCCCGTTCGCTCCGGGCTGGGCCGTCCGGCCGGGCAAGGGGGCGCTTTCTGCACCGCGGCAGCCGTCACGTGGCTCGCCCTGGAGCGCGCATCAACAGGTCCCCGAGAGGAGAGCCTGGGCGGAACGCGCATCAACAGGTCCCCGAGAGGAGAGCCTGGGCGGAACGCGCATCAACAGGTCCCCGAGAAGAGAGCCTGGGGACGGCCTCGGGGACCCAGGCGAAGGCGCTCCCCGCGAGAAGTGAGGTCCCCCCCCTCCACGACAACACCAGAGCTGGCTGCAGGCTCGGTGCCGACTCCGGCTTGCCCCTCCAGAGCACAGGGCACGCCAGGTGCAGCTGCGCCTCCACAAACACGCACGGCAGCCCAGACATCCCGGCAGCCCGGCATCAAAGCGCGCCGGCATCTCCGCCCCTCCCCAAACTTCAGGAGTTTCTAGAATACAGCTAAGCTGCAGTGGGCATCCAGGATCTCGTCTTCTCTGCCACTGCTCACTGTGATAACTGCGCTTGTTTGCAATCGTATTTAGAACAAGAAAAGAGGGGCGGTGGAAAAGGGGGACGGGCAACTTTAAATGAGGGTGAGCTGACATTCCGGGGGCCTGCACCTCGATCCCACCGGGAAGGAGACAGGATACCTTCGGGCTGAGGGTCAGAAACTGGCCACATCCCTGCCAGGCTGAACGCTGTCAGCAGAAAGCCTCCCGGGTCCCCGATCAGGAAGGTCCTGCGTGACCGCCTGCATCTGTTACAGTCAATAAACCTCCTTGGACGGGTCACTATCACCCCGAGTCAACAGCGTGCACTGGGCTCTCCCGCTGCCGCACGCTCTGTTGAGTCTGGAAAAACGCAGGATGACACGGATCTACCACTGTGGGGTCACGCAGAGGAGTTTCCCTGCCCTGAAAAACGTCTGTGTGGCACTGACGCACCCAACCCCCGCAAGCCCCGATCTGTTTCCTGTCTCCATCGTTTTCCTTTTTCCGAGTGTCCTAGACTTGGAACCAGAAGTCTGCAGCCATCTCAGACTGGCCTTTTCTTCTCCTGCAACCTTCCACACCACCTCTGACGCCCACCACAGCCCCCCACCCGCAAGGCCCCTTCCAACTCTTCTTAGGGGTACGCCCCTCTCCACTTCCTTCTCTTCCACCTCCTTCCCTTCTCCAGCCATCCTCGGATCCCTCCATCCTTCTCACTTCCTTACTGTCCTTGAGGATTCAGAAGTCGGCCTCTGACCCCCGGTAAGTCTCCAAAGGGAAGCTTTAAGACAGCACCAGAGGGAATGTGCTCAAACCACCAGGAGACGATTTAAACAAGTGCACCCAGTAACCCACGATGCGGGGCGCAAACTCACAGGGCAGAGGTGCCGCCCAGTCACCCACGATGCGGGGCGCAAACTCACAGGGCAGAGGTGCTGCCCAGTCACCCACGATGCAGGATGCAAACTCACAGGGCAGAGGTGCCGCCCAGTCACCCACGATGCAGGATGCAAACTCACAGGGCAGAGGTGCGGCCCAGTAACCCATGATGTGGGGCACAAACTCACAGGGCAGAGGTGCCGTCCCGTCACCCACGATGCGGGGCGCAAACTCACAGGACAGAGGTGCCGCCCAGTCACCCACGATGTGGGGCGCAAACTCACAGGGCAGAGGTGCCGCCCCTTCAGTTCATATCAGCACTACACACGGACGGCCTCCCAAACGCAGCTAGGGGAACCAGATTGGGAGCCAACCTCCTGTGATCTCCCTCCGAAAGTCAAAGATCAAACCCAAAATGCGGGGGAAGCGAGCCAACGGGCGCGATCCTCACACTCAGGCAACATGCCCTGTCCTGCCACGCCAGGTGACACACGCCCTGTCCTGCCACGGCGGGTGACACACACCCCTGTGGACTTTACTGCCAGGTTTCCTCTTTCCGTACAAGACTTTTGGAACACAGCCAGGCACAGTGGCTCATGCCTGTAATCCCAGCACTTTGGGAGGTCAAGGCAGGCAGATCATGAGGTCAGGAGTTCGAGACCAGCCAGGCCAACATGGTGAAACCCTGTCTCTACTAAAAATACAAAATTAGCTGGGCATGGTGGCGGGTGCCTGTCATCCCAGCTACTTGGGAGGCTGAGGGAGAAGAATCGCTTGAACTCAGAAGGCAGAGGTTGCAGTGAGCCGAGATTGCGCCACTGCACTGCAGCCTGGGGGACAAGAGCGAGACTTCGTCTCAAAAAGGAAAAAAAAAAAAAAAAGACTTTTGGAAAACAGCCTCAAAATCCTGAAGTGCACACATAGGCAGAGATTTAGACTCTGACCTGGAGCCCTCGAACCACCTCTGGATGCAGTCCCACTGCCCCCCTGGAGCCCTTGCGTCCTGTCCCGATGCAGAACCCGCACCACCCGCCCCCAGTGCAGCCACAGGGCTGTCTACACCGGATGGGGGAGGGACAGGGCTGTCCACACTCGACAGAGCCCCCATGGGGCCATCCACTACCGTGTACAGGGACGGGCCGTCCACAGTGGGGCCGCCATGGGGCTGTCTATACACTACTGTATGCAGGGACGGGCCGTCCACACCCAGTGGGGCCGCCATGGGGCTGTCTATACACTACTGTATGCAGGGACGGGCCGTCCACACCCAGTGGGGCCGCCATGGGGCTGTCTATACACTACTGTATGCAGGGACGGGCCATCCACACCCAGTGGGGCCACCATGGGGCTGTCTATACACTACTGTGTACAGGGACGGGCCGTCCACACCCAGTGGGGCCACCATGGGGCTGTCTATACACTACTGTGTACAGGGACGGGCCGTCCACAGTGGGGCCGCCATGGGGCTGTCTATACACTACTGTATACAGGGACGGGCCGTCCACAGTGGGGCCGCCATGGGGCTGTCTATACACTACTGTATGCAGGGACGGGCCGTCCACACCCAGTGGGGCCGCCATGGGGCTGTCTATACACTACTGTATGCAGGGACGGGCCGTCCACACCCAGTGGGGCCGCCATGGGGCTGTCTATACACTACTGTATGCAGGGACGGGCCGTCCACACCCAGTGGGGCCGCCATGGGGCTGTCTATACACTACTGTGTACAGGGACGGGCCGTCCACACCCAGTGGGGCCACCATGGGGCTGTCTATACACTACTGTATGCAGGGACGGGCCGTCCACAGTGGGGCCGCCATGGGGCTGTCTATACACTACTGTGTACAGGGACGGGCCGTCCACACCCAGTGGGGCCACCATGGGGCTGTCTATACACTACTGTATGCAGGGACGGGCCGTCCACAGTGGGGCCGCCATGGGGCTGTCTATACACTACTGTGTACAGGGACGGGCCGTCCACACCCAGTGGGGCCGCCATGGGGCTGTCTATACACTACTGTATGCAGGGACGGGCCGTCCACAGTGGGGCCGCCATGGGGCTGTCTATACACTACTGTGTACAGGGACGGGCCGTCCACACCCAGTGGGGCCACCATGGGGCTGTCTATACACTACTGTGTACAGGGACGGGCCGTCCACAGTGGGGCCGCCATGGGGCTGTCTATACACTACTGTGTACAGGGACGGGCCGTCCACACCCAGTGGGGCCACCATGGGGCTGTCTATACACTACTGTGTACAGGGACGGGCCGTCTACAGTGGGGCCGCCATGGGGCTGTCTATACACTACTGTATGCAGGGACGGGCCGTCCACACCCAGTGGGGCCGCCATGGGGCTGTCTATACACTACTGTGTACAGGGACGGGCCGTCCACACCCAGTGGGGCCACCATGGGGCTGTCTATACACTACTGTGTACAGGGACGGGCCGTCCACACCCAGTGGGGCCACCATGGGGCTGTCTATACACTACTGTATGCAGGGACGGGCCGTCCACACCCAGTGGGTCCGCCGTGGGGCTGTCTATACACTACTGTGTACAGGGACGGGCCATCCACACCCAGTGGGGCCACCATGGGGCTGTCTATACACTACTGTATGCAGGGACGGGCCGTCTACAGTGGGGCCGCCATGGGGCTGTCTATACACTACTGTGTACAGGGACGGGCCGTCCACACTTGACAGGACCACCACAGGGCTGTCTATACACTACTGTGTACAGGGACGGGGCCGTCATAGCATTGTTTTTGCACCACAGGCCAGCACGGAATCTGCGAGGCCTGTTTTCAGCCTGTTCCCCCCAAATTCCTACTCTGAAGAGACAACATTGCCATCTGGGCCGATGAAGCCCCTCACGGCACCCGAATCTCCACCGTCCCTCTGCTGTCGGGACACAATCTTACCATCAACCTCTAAAGGCTCCTAAAATGCCCAGAAGACCTTTATGCAAAATTTTCATAAAAATCTCTTCACTTTTCATTCTCACTAAACATACATTTGTTCAGACGGCTTGTTTTAGGATAAAAATGTGTCTTCCATGAGCAAACATAATGGCTTTTCTGAAATCCCAGATTTGAAAGGCTTACGAAGGCGACCTGCCCTTTGTGAGAAAAAGTTTTTCTGAACATCCAAAGCTAAAAGCATAGCTAGTAACAGGCAAGCCTATGAGACAGGAAGATGGCCCAGAATCCTGTCCTCACCCTGCAGGTGCCGTCTGCAGAGCACGGCTTCCTCCCTGTTTCAAAGGCCCTGAGAGGACAGGCTCCAGCGGATTCAAAACCCGTCCACCTCATCTCAGGAAACGGCATGGTTCTCTCTGTCAACAGAAGGGGAGGGAGGGATGAAGCTCTTTACACAGTTTCCATGGTTGCAGATTCTCGGAGGTTGCAAGAAGGGTTTTCGACACCTTCCTTCCTCCTCACAACGAGACTCTCATCGGTGCCCACTATGAAAACGTGAATAGGTCGTTGTTACGAAGGCAGTGAGAACTGAACGCAGACAGGCACGCACCTGTACAAAAGCTACAGTCCCTGGGCAAGCTCAAGGCTCCCGCACGAAACCTTCAGAAACCCTGAGCTCCTGCCCTGAGGGTTCTAGGTGCTTTTGTCTTACAACATGTTTGTTAAGAACTTCTAATGAAACGTTAAGATAACCACACCTGTATGTACATGCACCTGTGTGTGTGTATGCACCTGTGTGTTTGTGTGTATGCACCTGTGTGTGTGTATGCACCTACGTGTGTGTGTATGCACCTGTGTGTGCACCTGTGTGTATGCACCTATGTGTGTGTATGCACCTATGTGTGCATGTACCTGTGTGTATGGACCTATGTATGTGTGTATGCGTGTGTATGCACCTGTGTATGCACCTGTGTGTATGCACCTATGTGTGTGTGTGTGTATGGACCTATGTATGTGTATGCACCTGTGTGTATGTATCTGTGTGTATGGACCTATGTATGTGTGTATGCGTGTGTATGCACCTGTTATGCACCTGTGTGTATGCACCTATGTGTGTATGTACCTGTGTATGCACCTATGTGTGTATGCACCTATGTGTGTATGCACCTGTGTTTGTGCATATGCACCTGTGTGTGTGTATGCACCTGTGTGTTTGTGTGTATGCACCTGTGTGTGTGATGCACACGCACGCCCGTGTTTATCTCCAAATACCCTGTTCTAATGTTCTAGAATGCTGGCACCCGGTCTGATAAAAATCACAGGTTAGGTGGACACCAAAACTGAGTAGCTTCCAGAAATTAGAGAAGAACTAAATAAACAGATAGAAACTTAATCAAGGAGGTGCAAGAGGTGTACCCGGGGAAGTACACAACGTTGCTGAACAAAACCTAAATGAATGGAAAGTCCTTTGTTTGTGGATTGGAAAATACTGTTAAGGTATCAATTATCCTAAATTGATCCACAGATTCAAAGCAATCCCAATCAAAATTCCAACAGGCTTTTCTTGCTGGAAAGCAATTTTTAAAGAACAGGCTTGGACTCACAGTATCTGCTTTCAAAATTTGCTAGAAAGTTACACTAATCTGGAAAGTGCCATGAAGGTGAGGGGATGCACATACAGCAATGGGATGGAAATAATAATAAAACAGACGTACGTACTCAACTGACTTTCAACAACACAATTCCACGGGGGGAGAAAAGACTGTTCAATATACGGTGCTGGGGTCATCCAGATACCTCACCTCATACCACGCAGAAAAACTGACCTGAACTGGATCACAGGCCGAAACGCAAACCTAAAACCACACTGCTTTCTCAAGATAAATAGGAGAAAATATTTGACACCTTGTGGTATGCAAACATTTTGTAATAAGACACAAAAAATAAGAGTCATAAAAGAAAAAAGTTGAAAAACTAAACACTTTTGCTCTTTGAGACACTGAAGAAAACAAAAAGCAAGCCAGACTCAAGAGACATATGCACACACCACATTGTCTTACCAAGGACTTGCCAACAGTTGTATGTAAAGAGCTCTCGCAACTCAGTGATAACATAACCCAATTTAAAAAGCAAACACACGACCTGAACAGACGCTCGACAGTGGGAACCACATGAATGGCAAATAAGCACCTGAAAATTCCTCGGCGTCACCAGGCCGCAGGGAAATGCAATCAAAATCGTGCAGTACTGGCCGGGTGTGGTTGCCCTCGTCTGTCATCCCAGCACTCTGGGAGGCTGGGGCGGGTGGATCACCTGAGGTCAGGAGTTCAAGACCAGCCTGACCAACATAGTGAAACCCCATCTCTACTAAAAATACAAAACTAGCCGGGCGTGGTGGCGGGTGCCTGTAATCCCAGCTACTCGGGAGGCTGAGGCAGGAGACTCACTTGAACTGCAGGAGGTGGAGGTTGTAGTGAGCCGAAATTGCGTCATTGCACTGCAGCCTGGGCAACAAGAGTGAAACTCCATCTCAAAAAAAAAAAAAAAAAAAAAAAAAGCAGCTCATCCACATGAGGTTCTTAATTCCCCTTGTAAGAACTTACTTTAAAGATGCATTTAGGGTCCCCCCTAGCAGAAGCACCCTGGCTTGCAGCATCAGCCCATCGATACTGGCGTTTTCTTTCTTTTTTTTTTTTTTAGAGACAGAGTCTCACTTTGTTGCCCCGGCGGGAGTGCACTGGCACAAACATAGCTCACTGCAGCCTCGAACTCCTGGGATCTTCCTGCCTCAGCCTCACAAGCAGCTGAGACTTCAGGCATGAACCACCATGCCTGGCTGATTTTACTATTTTACAGAGATGGGGGAGTCTCGCTATGTTGCCCAGGCTGGGCTCAAACTCCTGGCCTCAAGGGATCCTCCCTCCTTGGCCTCCCAAAGTGCTGGGATTGAGCCACTGCACCCGGCCAATGCTCACATTTTCTAATTTGTACCAGTTTCTCTTCCCCAAAGACGGGAAGGAGCCACTGCAAGCACCCCTTTCAAACACAGAATGCAATCTCTCTGCTCAGTAACGATGAAGGCGTAGGTAACGTAAAACAATGCCGTTCCTTTCACCCTTGGCTGGGGAGTTCAATGGACCTAGCGTGAACCCTCCTGACAGCTCATACTCCATTCTGTACATGTGTGGGTGAGAAAAAGCTGCTTTATTTATGAAAATCTCTTCCTCTGACCCCAGCATCGCCCCTCCCCAGCCAGAGTTTGTAGCATGGAACTGCATCCTTCACTGTTAACGTGGCCTCGCGTATTCTGTATATGGGATGGACAGGAACAAGCTCATCTTTTTTTTTTTTTTTTTTTTTTTGAGACAGAGTCTTGCTCTGTCACCCAGGCTGGAGTGCAGTGGCGCGATCTCAGCTCACTGCAAGCTCTGCCACCCAGGTTCATGCCATTCTCCTGCCTCAGCCTCCGGAGTAGCTGGGACTACAGGCACCCGCCACCACGCCCGGCTAATTTTCTGTATCTTTAGTAGAGACAGGGTTTCACTGTGTTAGCCAAGATGGTCTCTATCTCCTGACCTTGTGATCCGCCCGCCTCGGCCTCCCAAAGTGCTGGGATCACAGGCATGAGCCACCGTGCCCAGCCCAAGCTCATCTTTTTTGTCCCAATGAACAGACACATCTTTCTAAGTTATTCACTTCTTGAGATTCAGCTGAAGTAAGCCATAGGTTCCAAACACGTAGACATGTTTAAGGTAAACTTTTAGTCCCAAACAAGGTCAGTCACTGCTTTTTGAAAATTCTTGCCATCTCCTAAGTGCAGAATCCTGCACCCTGCACACCCTGGCCGCCATGCCCACGGTCCACACGCATCCTTCCTTCTGCTTCTCCGGTCAGACCACTCCAGTCCCTCAACGTGACCTGAACATCTCATCTTTTTTTTTCTTTTTTTTTTTTTTTTGAGACAGAGTGTCTCACTCTTGTCACCCAGGCTGGAGTGCAGTGGCACAATTTCAGCTCACTGCAATCTCCGCCTCCCAGGTTCAAGTGATTCTCCTGCCTCAGCCTCCAGAGTAGCTGGGATTACAGGTGCCCACCACCACACCCAGCTAATTTTTGTATTTTTAGTAGAGACAGGGTTTCACCATGTTGGCCAGGTTGATCTCGAACTCCTGACCTCAGGTGATCCGTCCACCTCAGCCTCCCAAAGTGCTAGGAATTCAGGTGTGAGCGACTGAGCCTGGTCTCATTTTCACCGCCTCCCTTGGTCCTGCCCCCTATACCCAATAAACTCAGTGCATTTCTCAAGTTCCACTACTCACTTCCTCCTCAAAACTTTCTCCAGGAGAGAAATGATGTCTCCCTGCTTTGAACACCTTTGGAACTTAATTTCCACTTGTTAGAGGCTTCTTGCCTGATTTACAGAATATATCATCCTCTCACATGCACCCAAATGGCCTCGTTTGCACAGACCTGACCTTCCGTCAATATTCCCAGCCCTAGGAGAATTCATGCAAAGTCACAATAGTCCCAGCCCTAGGAGAATTCTTGCAAAGTCACACAATTCAAGCATTTACCTTAGCGTCTGGCTGTCATTCAACACGTTTAAGGACAAAATGGCAGCTCATTAGCGATCCCACTGAGAAAGCAAGTCATGGAGGGGAACCATCATTACTAGCACATGCTTCTTGAGTCCTGGCCCTCCTCTCAACCTCCTCAGTAAATGAGGGATTTGGGCAAGAGTTCCTAAGGTGCTTCAGGTTTTGCAGCTCACTGGGAAAGTGCACTGGGCCGGAGCTCAAGAGATGCGTCCTGGGGCCCTGAGTCCCCTCCTGGATCGGGATCTGGAGGGCCTGAGCCAGACGGTCTCCAAGCTGCCTCTAGCTCTAGTTCACATTTTCATCGACACGTACTTTTGGAAAATGTTCTAGATCCATCAGAAGACATCGGACAACCACCGGTAATTTAGAACGCAAGGAGCTCACCTCAGATTGCCACCCACCTCTCACTCAGCAAGTAGAGAGGCTGGTCCATTTTGGCTGGAAAACTGTGGTGCTACGTAAATATCACTTTGTGACATGCTTATTAGTGCTGCTGATGGAAAGCTGGTGTTCAGCTGAAAATTTTCAAATGGTATAAACAAGTTCCGACGGAACATTCTGAATATTTCAGGCTTCCGTAGTATTCTCGGGACACCAGACGCACCAGCCATACGTGTTTCTATAACATCTGGAAGCAATGTTTTATCGCTTTAAACTGCATAGTATAAAACGACAGAAAGCATTTTTAAAAATACACGGCTGTCGGCGGGCACGGTGGCTCACACCTGTAATCCCAAAACTTTGGGAGGCCGAGGCGGGCGGATCACGAGGTCAGGAGATCAAGACCATCCCGGCTAACACGGTGAAACCCCGTCTCTACTAAAAATACAAAAAAATTAGCCGGGCGTGGTGGCGGGCGCCTGTAGTCCCAGCTACTTGGGAGGCTGAGGCAGGAGAATGGCGTGAACCCGGGAGGCGGAGCTTGCAGTGAGCCGAGATCGCGCCACTGCACTCCAGCCTGGGGGACAGAGCGAGACTCCGTCTCAAAAAAAAAAAAAAAAAAAAAAAAAAAAAACCAAAAAAACAAAAAAACAACTAAGTTCCCAGTCATGACTGGATGGGAGTTTGGACACACCTTATTATACCCCTCCTGCTTTGGCAGTTTAAACACAACCAACCAGCAAAAAGGTTAAAATCAACATCGTAAGACTGACAGAACAGACTCTGTGGCAAACAAGACCAAGGGCCACCTGAGGTGAGGGTTAAGTCACACACCGCCTACACTTAAAGAATAAACTACAGTTCCAACTGCCAAAGCATTTCTTTTTCTCCAGCAGCTAAATGTCCTTTTAGGTTATTCACTAGAGACCTCTGCAGAAACTCGTTTTTGAGATTCAAGAAGTAAATAAAGGATGTTTTTCTTTTTCTCTATTGCTTATCTTGGCCTCAAGCTCGCGCACGCAAGAAGACTCTCTCTCTCTCTCTCTCTCTATATATATATATATACTTTTTTTTTTTTTTTGAGACAGGGCCTTCCTCTGTTGCTCAGGCTGGTGAGCAGTGGTGCAATCTCAGCTCACAGTAATCTCCGACTCCCAGCTTCAAGCATTTCTCCTGCCTCAGCCTCCTGAGTAGCTGAGACTTCAGGTGCGCCACCACGCCTGGCTAATTTGTGTATTTTTAGCAGAGATGGGGTTTCGCCATGTTGCCCAGGCTGGTCTCGAACTCCTGAACTCAAGTGATCTGCCTGCCTCCAACTCCCAAATGCTGGAATCACAGGCGTGAGTCACCATGCCTGACCAATATAAACAATATTAAAACACCTGCAGCTTCCTGTCAGATCCTGATGAACAGACCCCTCTGTTCCACCAGCCGTAACTACAGCTTTGACTGGGAAAAGACTGATTCCAGGCCAGGTGTGGTGGCTCACGCCTGTCATCCCAGCACTTTGAGAGGCTGAGGCGGGTGGATCACCTGAGGTCAGGAGTTTGAGACCAGTCTAGCCAACAAGGTGAAAGCCTGCCTCTACTAAAAATACAAAAATTAGCCGGGGGTGGTGGTGTGCGCCTGTAATCACAGCTACTCGGGAGGCTGAGGGAGGAGAATCGCTTGAACCCGGGAGGCGGAGGTTGCAGTGAGCTGAGATTGCACCATTGCATCTCAGCCTGGGTGAGAGTGAGAATCTGTCTCAAAAAAAAAAAAAAAAAAAAAAAACTGATTGCAATCACTTTATCCTGGTAACTACTCACCACGGACTGGTTCTGGCCGGTTGACAGAGGCTGCAGAGTTGCTTCACCTTTTGACCTAGGGGGCCTAACCATAATGCATTTAAATGTTAAGTCTCCGCTCCAAGGTGAACTCGGGAGTAGGTAACATGCATGTTTGTTCAATACCCATGCGTCAGGACACCCTTGGTGAATATCCATAGCTCTTCCTATAACTTCTTGAATATATACACTTGGCCAACCCACTCAGCATAAATTCCCGTCTCATCTTTTCTTCCCTCCAAGTGCTTGTTTTTAGTTTTCTTTTTTTTTTTTTTTTTTTTTTTTTTGAGATGGAGTCTTGCTCTGGTGCCCAGGCTGGAGTGCAGCCTCTGCCTCCTGGGTTCCAGTGATTCTCCTGCCTCAGCCTCCCGGGTAGCTGAGATTACAGGTACATTAGCCAGAGGCTGCGCTTCTCACCTGCGGTGTATAATCACCTTCTATGAAATAAATGGCGTTTCTTCTAAGAAATACAGTGGGATTTTGGGAGGCCGAAGCGGGAGGATTGCTTGGACCCAGGAATTCCAGAGCACTCTAGGTAACATAGCAAGACCTCGTCTCTGCAAAAATAAATAAATAAATAAATAAACAAAAATTAGCCTGGCGTGATGGTGCACGCCTGTAATCCCAGCTACTGGGGAGGCTGAGGCAGGAAGTCCAACTGTGTTTGCGCCACTGCACTCCAGCCTAGGAGACAGAGCAAGACCCTGTCTCCAAAGAATTGTAAAATAAATAAAAAACGGACCAGGCGCAGTGACTCACGTCTGAAATCCCAGCACTTTGGGAGGCCAAGGCGGGAGGATCACTTGAGGTCAGGAGTTCGAGACCAGCCTGGCCCACATGGGGGAAACCCAGTCTCTACTAAAAATACAACATCAGCCAGGCGTGGTGGCACGTGCCTGTAAGTCCCAGCTCCTCGGGAGCCTGAGGCAGGAGAATCGCTTGAACCTGGGAGGCAGAGGTTGCAGTGAGCCAAGATCGCGCCATCGTACTCCAGCCTGGGCAACAGAGCAAAACTCTGTCTCAAAATTAAAACAAATTAAAATAATAAAATAAAATAAAATAGGAAGCCTTTCTACCTTTATAAATTGTGTGATTTTTAGGTTAACAACTGTCAATGACGGAATGTTCAGTACGTGGGACTTTCTTGTCTGTATGTGTGTGGTGGGGGGGGTCGGGGCGGGGAACAGACTCAATATGAAACCGTTTTGGGGTCTGACGCTCGCCCACCAGCCTCCATCGCGCAGCCACACGCCCACTATGCGACCAGAGCCACCTGCGCAGTTGTTAGCAGAAGGAAGAGTAACTTACTACTCTCGTCCCTGCGGATCTACGGGTGCCTCGAACGTGGGGCGCGTTCCTGGGGCTGGAGGCGGCGCCCAGGGGCAGCGCAGGGCCCGGCCCGGGGGTTCCCGGGGGTTCGAGCCCGCTGGGCCGGGGGGCGGCGAGCGGGGCTGTGGGCCAGGCCCCGGGCTGCTCCCCGTCCCCCGGGGTCGGCTGGTCCCGCCCGGGCGCCTTGATCCGGCGCAGGCAGTCCTGCAGCATCCGCTGCGTGCTGGCCTCGCTGAGCCAGTACAGGAACAGCTCGTCCACCTTCATCTTCAGGACCGGCTGCAGCACTTTGCCGGGCGGCATGGCGGGGGCTGGGCCCGCGGCGCCCCCGGACGCCCGCGCCCCGCCCCGCCCCGGGGGCTTCGGTCCGCCCCGGACCGACCTCGGTGATGCGAGCACGGCCCGCTGAGGGGGCGCGGCGCAGGGAACAGGGCCCGCGCCTCGGGAACTGCGCGGACTCGCGGGGCGCGGGGACCGAGGAGGGGGCGCGGTCCGGCCCGCGCTGCTCAGGGCAGCTTCAAAACGGGCGCGCCGGCCGCGCTCCCAAACAAGGGCGCCCGCGTTCACGTCACTGCGTCGCGTCATCGCGACGATGTCATCACGAGGCGACGCCGCCGCTAGCCACGCGCGCCCCGCGGCCCTCGGAGCTTTTGCAGGAGGCTTTGGTGGGGCCGAGCGGCTGCGGTGAGGACGAGGGAGGGGCTGTGGCGGCCGTACCGCCCGAGCTCTTTCTGCGTTTAGGATTTTTAGAGGCGCGGCCCATGGCGGCGTGGCAGTCCTAGAGCTGCGGAAATGCGAGCATGCGCAATGCGTGCCTGCCAGAGCGAGGAGAGGGTGGAACCTCCGCATGGAGCATGCGCCGTGCATAGCGGTGGAGGAGCGGAGTTCGGGAGGCCGGTCGGGTGAGCGTGCGCAATGGCTGCCCGCGGGGCGCAAGCCAGAGGCTGGGAGGTGTGTGAGCGGGTGGGGCTGGAGGACGGGAGTGCGCCTGCGCAGTGGGAGGCACCGGGAACGAGCGAGCATGCGGGGTGCGCGCCCGCCGAGCTCGGGAGCGAGCGTGCGTCCTACGGGAGCGCGCGAGGAAAAGATCAAACTTTTCAATAACAGCGGGCTACCTGGGACCCAAAGGGCCCCGTTTACTTTAGCTTTGCTTATCAAACAGTAGAGACAGGTTGGAGGAGTTGGACCCCTTTAAACGTTGGTGTTCAGGGATGAGCGTGAAGTGCGTTGAAAATTGCAAAAATCATCCACGTCCAGGGAGGTGACATTAGTTAAATAACTTTACCCAATGGTCGTTTTTGTTTCTGCTTTTAACAGTATCCATAAAAACACTGCATTATCATCTGTCTGGCACACATGCACCTGTTTCCTTTACATCTTGCCCCGCTTTTTATTCATTTTTTATCAAAATAGGGTTTCACCTGGTGTTGCACCCTGTTAGAGAGTAATTTCAAGGTCTTTTATGAGCCAGGTTCTCCTACTTCTGAGCTGCATAAATCGAGCCAGACTCAATAAGTAACCCTTGGCCGGGCGCGGTGGCTCAAGTCTGTAATCCCGGCACTTTGGGAGGCTGAAGCGGGCAGATCACGAAGTCAGGAGTTCGAGACCAGCCTGGCCAGCATAGTGAAACCGCCCCCACCATCTCTACTAAAAATAGAAAAATTAGCCGGGCATAGTAGCGTGTGCCTGTAGTCCCAGCTACTCGGGAGGCTGTGGCGGGAGAATTGCTTGAACCCAGGAGGTGGAGGTTGCAGTGAGCTGAGATCACACCATTGCACTCCAGCCTGGGCGACAGAGCCAGACTTTGTCTCAAAAAAAAAAAAAATAACTCTTTTTTTAGTTTTATTTTTTTTTTGAGTTGGAGTCTCGCTCTGTCGCCCAGGCTGGAGTGCGATGGCAAGATCTCAGCTCACTGTAACCTCCGCCTCCCGGGTTCAAGGGATCCTCCTGCCTCAGCCTCCCGAGTAGCTGGGATTACAGGCGCCCGCCACCACGCCTGGCTAATTTTTGTATTTTTGGTAGAGACAGGGTTTCACCGTATTAGCCAGGATGGTCTCGAACTCCTGACCTCAAGTGATCCACCCGCCTCGGCCTCCCAAAGTGCTGGGATTACAGGCGTGAGCTACCACGCCCGGCCTAAATAACTCTTTTTGTTCGTATGAGACAGGGTTTTGCTCCGTCACCCAGGCTGCGATCTTAGCTGAGTGCAGCCTTGATCTCCTGGCTCAAGCGATCCTCCCACCTCAGCCTTCCAAGCAGCTGGGACAACAGGCATGCGCCACCATGCCTGGCTCATTTTTAATTTTATTGTTTATAGAGACGAGGTGTTGCTGGTCTCACACTCCTGGCCTCAAGCAATCTTCCTGCCTTTGCCTCTGTCTCTGCCTCCCAAAGCGTTGGGATTACAGGCGTGAGCCACCGCACCCGATTTAAATCACTCATAAACGATAGTTTTGTGTTGTGTACATAATGATTTGAATTTCAGTTTGTGTTTCGTGATTGGATATAAAAATCCGAGTGTACTTGGTCAGAAGAGCGCCATCACGCAGGAATTCTGTGAAGTTATTTTTCCTAATTGGGAAGCAACCGTTTGTGTGTGTGTGCGATGCTGTGATTTCTGGAGGGAAGTGAATATATTAATACAGTTCTCTGTTTGAGTATGTATCGGACACAGACGTCTTTTCAAGGAACAAACGTGCTTTTCATTCTGGGTGTTTCGATGAGCTGCGAGTCACTGTTGGAAGCATCACTGCAGTTTTGAGGGGAAAGGGTTTCCTTTGAATGCCTGCACAAGAGGCCTTTCTCTGCCAGGTTACTGGGGCACAGTGTAGTGAGGCCCAGGGCCAACAGGACAGAAATCAACTCAGGGCAGAAACAGAATGCGCCTTCAGTCTGCGCTGGGGCCCGGGGGCCCACTCCGTGCAGGCTTTGCTCTGGGAGAACAAAGAGGTGCTGTCGGGCCCCCAAGGCTGGCAGGGCCTGAGGTGTTGCAGAGTTTGCTGGGATGTGGCCAGCTGCAATTATCCAAGCTGCTCCACAGCCGGATGGACGCCCTGCCCATTCGGGTCTGTCCGTCTTGCAGGGGTGGTGGGTGGCCACCAGAATTGTCCTGGGGAGAGAAAGGTGAGGGCAGGCCGGGAGATTGCAGTGGCTCATGCCTGTCATCCCAGCACTTTGGGAGGCCGAGACGGTGGATCACCTGAGGTCAGGGGTTCAAGACCAGCCTGGCCAACATGGTGAAACCCCCGTCTCTACAAAAATACAAAAATTAGCCAGGCACGGTGGCTCACACCTGTCATCCCAGCACTTTGGGAGGCCGAGGTGGTGGATCACCTGAGGTCAGGAGTTCGAGACCAGCCTGGCCAACATGGTGAAACCCCGTCTCTACAAAAATACAAAAATTAGCCAGGCATGGTGGCTCACACCTGTCATCCCAGCACTTTGGGAGGCCGAGGCAGGAGGATTGTTTAAGCCCAGGAGGTCAAGACCAGCCTTGGCAACATGGCGAGCCCCATCTCTAGAGAATATTTAAAAATTAGCTGAGCATCCTGGCGTGTGCCTGTGGTCCCAGCTACTCGGGAGGCTGAGGTAGGAGGATCGTTTGAGCCTGGGAGGTTGAGGCTTCAGTGAGCCGAGATCTCACCACCGCTCTCCAGCCGAGGCAGGAATGAAAGACTCTGTCCCTAAAAGCATTAAATTTTAAAAAGCAGCCAGATATCGTGGCTCACACCTGTTATCCCAGCACTTTGGGAAGCTGAGGTGGGAGGATCACCTGAGGTCAGGAGTTCGAGACCAGCCTGACCAACATGCTGAAACCCCGTCTCTACAAAAATACAAAAATTAGCCAGACGTGGTGGCTCACACCTGTCATCCCAGCACTTTGGGAAGCTGAGGCAGGCAGATCACCTGAGGTCAGGAGTTCGAGACCAGCCTGGCCAACATGGTGAAACCCCGTCTTTACAAAAATAGAAAAATTAGCTGGGCATGATGGCGGGTGCCTGTAATCCCAGCTACTTGGGAGACTGAGGCAGAAGAATCACTTGAACCCAGGAGACAGACGTTGCAGTGAGCCGAGATCACAGCATTGCACTCCAGCCTGGACAGCAGAGCGAGACTCCCTCTCGAAAAAATAAAAATAAAAATAAAATAAAAAGCGAGAATGGGGAGGGAAGAGTAGCGAGGAAGATTCCGGAAGACTCTGCTCCTCTGTGGGATGTAGGTCCAGGAACAAAGAGCTGGGTCAGCGCTTCCCAGGGAGGTGAGGAAGGAGGGAGCCACAACGGTTGTAGAGGGAGAGAAGCTCCTTCCTTCATCCACCTGAGCCCGGGTCTCCTGTGTGGCCACAGCCTCTGCAGCCTCTGCCCCACCTGCAGCTGCTCAGAAATGCAAACTCACCCACTGTATGACATGCTCTGGATCTCAGTCGGCCTTCGCCCCGCAGACCTGGGTGGTTGATCGAACACTAAAGCTCCAGACCTGGAGATGCCTCAGAGGAAGCACCTGGCAAGTAGGATCTCCCTGGTCCTGCGCCGACCCAAAGCTCCCAGCTAGGTGCGTGCAGTGAGAGGTCAAAGAGGGATCAAGTTTATATCTGCCGCTTGCATTCCGCACGATGACTTAAAACAAACAAACAAAACAAACAAACAAAAAAAAACAAAAAACCCAGCCGAGCACAGTGTCATCCCAGCACTTTGGGAGGCCGACAGGGGTGGATCACGAGGTCAAGAGATCGAAACCAGCCTGGCCAACGTGGTGAAACCCCGTCTCTACTAAAAATACAAATATTAGCTGGGCGTGGTGGCGGGCACCTGTAACCCTAGCAACTCGGGAGGCTGAGGCAGGAGAATCACTTGAACCCGGGAGGCGGAGCTTGCAGTGAACAGAGATCATGCCCCTGTACTCCAGCCTGGCGACAGAGCGAGACTCTGTCTCAAAATGAATAAATAAATAGGAAAGTAGTGTGGGTCTGCATTCTGCAGGTTTTGGAAACACATTTCCGAGTGCATATTTCAGGTGAGGAGAGGTGGGGACTCCAGGCAGCGTGCACAGTTTAGACTCTAACCGTGGGCCGGGAGTGGTGGCTCACTCCTATAATCCCAGCACTTTGGGAGGCCGAGGTGGGCGGATCACAAGGTCAGGAGTTCGAGACCAGCCTGGCCAATATGGTGAAGCCCCATCTGTACTAAAAATCCAAAAATTAGCCAGATGTGGTGGCGTGCACCTGTCATCCCAGCTACTGGGGAGGCTGAGGCAGGAGAATCGCTTGAACCCGGTGGAGGCGGAGGTTGCAGTGAGCCGAGATCGCGCTGCTGTACTCCAGCCTGGGTGACAGAGCGAGACTCCCTCCCAAAAAAAGAAACCACCGTAACTGTGGCAGTAAGAGGCCAGGAACTCTCACAGATACCTCGTCCAAAACCGGCAAAGGAGAGGATGGAACATTTGCTGTAGAGGTTTTCCTGCCTCTTCATAACTCCTTGAGGCTGTGTCCTCATCCATCTTCCAGAAACCAAAAACCCTTCACACATCGCCCCTTTTGTCCCGAGCGGCGCCCGCTGCCACCTGCTTGGCAAAATAAAACGTAAGTGGAAAAATGCTCCCTTTTCCATTTTCCTCTCTAATTGAATTCTCTCCTGACCTCTCGGTTCCCCACGGCTGTGTTTCAGGTTTTGATGATAAGGAAAAGAACTCTGTATTTGGATAATACGATTTTCAGCAACCTTCAACTCAATTTCCTCTCCCCGGAGACAGTGTATCTTATAGGATAGAATGAAATCCCTTATTCATAGGGAAAAAGTTCCAATTTAATCTGAATATTCAGCGTGCCGCCGTGGCCGGGGTGATGGATGGCGTATGGAAATATCACAGTTCAAGCAATCAGATGTCAGAATGCACTCTGCTACTGGAAGAAATAATGACGCCTATCCAATTTTCTATAAGGCGCAGAAATGCACGTTGCATCGTGAGGACCCCGGCTTTCTCCTATTACCTTACTAATCACATCTCCATTTAAACACAGAACAGAAAAGGAAGCGTGGTCACAAATTAAGAATTAATGGAAGTGAGACTCCGCAATGGATTCGGGGCCGAGGGCCAAAGGCGGCCGCCACGTGCCGCTATTTACATGAAGTCACAGAGATGACGGGGATGAGCGGGGTCCCCTTGTCAGAAGCTGCTGGGCCAGATGAACCTGACAAGTATCTCCTAAGAAGGATTTAGAAAAGGGGAAGATGAAATCTTTGGAGGTAATGGAGAATTAGAAGCATGTCATTACCTATAAATCCTGCGGCCCTGCACACGCTGTTGACAGCCCGGAAGATGAGACTGGCTGAGAGGAAAAAGATTCTGAGCCTGGAACAAGCGGACCCAGATTCTAGGTGGCCAGGCTGTGTGGTTGCTTTTATCATTCCGGGAGACTTTCGGGAGGAAATGTTTGCAAAGAGCACGCAGATGGGGAAATGTTTGCAAAGAGCACGCAGATGGCATTTTCTTTTCTCTCTATTTTTTTTTTTTTGAGACGTAGTTTTTGCTCTTGTCGCCCAGGTTGGAGCCGCCTCCCGGGTTCAAGCGATTCTCCTGCCTCAGCCTCCCAAGTAGCTGGGATTACAGGCACCTGCCACCACGCCCGGCTACCTTTTATATTTTTAGTAGAGACTGGGTTTTGCCGCGTTGGCCAGGCTGGTCTCGAACTCCCGACCTCAGGAGATCTGCCCGTCTCGGCCTCCGAAAAGTGCTGGGATTACAGATGTGAGTCACCGCGCCTGGCCAGCATTTTGTATCACCCCTAACTGCATCTATTTTGGTGTTGTTCATGATAATAATAAATGTCATGCATATCTCTGATTGAACTTGGCCCGTGCTTGAGCTCATTAGAAACAGGTTTTCCTATGTGTCATCTCTTATTTTTCTTGGTAATACTTGGAGCTGAGATTTCTTTTTCTCTCTCTTTCTTCCTCTCTCTTTCTCTCTTTCTTCCTCTCTCTTTCTCTCTTCCTTCCTCTCTCTTTCTCTCTTCCTTCCGAGACAGGGTCTCACTCCGTTACCCAGGCTGGAGTGCGGTTGTACGATCACAGCTGCTGTCTTGACCTCCTAGGCTCAAGTGATCCTCCACCCTCAGCCTCCCGAGTAGCTGAGACTGCAGGCATGCACCGCCATGCCCGCCTAATTTTTTTATTTTTTTCTAGAGATGGGGTCTGACTATGTTGCCCAGGCTGGTCTCAAACTCTTGGCCTCAAGCAATCCTCCTGCCTCGACCTCCCAAAGTGCTGGGATTACAGGCGTGAGCTACCGCACGCAGCCTTGAATCCTTTTAATAAGTACTTTCCTCTTATCCACGACCCAGAACATCACACTGTAGACAGTTGTTTAGGGTTTTGAAAGATTTATATTTTTAATTTTTTTTTTTTTTTTGAGACAGTCTTGCTCTTTTGCCCAGGCCGGACTGCAGTGGCACAATCTCGGCTCACTGCAAGCTCCACCTCCCGGGTTCACGCCATTCTCCTGCCTCAGCCTCCCGAGTAGCTGGGACCACAGGTGCCCACCACCACGCCCGGCTAATTTTTTGTATTTTTAGTAGAGGTGGGATTTCACCGTGTTAGTCAGGATGGTCTCGATCTCCTAGCCTTGTGATCCGCCCGCCTCAGCCTCACGAAGTGCTGGGATGACAGGCGTGAGCCACCGCGCCCGGCCAATTTTTTTTTTGAGCTAGGATCTCACTCTGTCACCAGGTTGGAGTGCAGTGGTGCGATCTCAGCTCACTGCAACCTCCGCCTCCCAGGCTCAAGCGATCCTCCCACCTCAGCCTCCCAATTAGCTGGGACCACAGGCACCTGCCACCACACCTGGCTAATTTTTTTTGTAGAGACGGGGTTTTGACATGTTGTCCAGGCTGGTCTCAAACTCCTGAGCTCAAGCAATCTACTGGTCTCGGCCTCCCAAAGTGCGGAGATGACCACCATGAGTGACCGTGCCAGGCCTCTGTTTTTAATTTTGTAATTGAGATACATTCCACATAACATAAAAGGAACCGTTTTAAAGTGAACAGGGGCATTTAAAACATCCACAATGGCGTACCACCACCTCTGTCTAGTTCCGGAACACTTGCGCTGGGCATGGTGGTTCACGCCTGTCATCCCAGCACTTTGGGAGGCCGAGGCGGGCGGATCACCTGAGGTCAGGAGTTCAAAACCAGCCTGGCCAACATGACGAAACCCCATCTCTACTAAAAATACAGAAGTTAGCTGGGTTTGGTGGCTGGTGCCTGTAATCCCAGATACTTGGGAGGCTGAGGCAGGAGAATCACTTGAGCCTGGGAGGCGGAGGTTGCAGTGAGCCGAGATCACGCCACTGCGCTCCAGGCTGGGCCACAGAGCGAGACCCGGTCTCAAAAATAAACAAACAAACCAACAACAACAAAAGGTCTGGAGCATTTTCTTCACCCCAAAAGTAAACCCTGTCCCCATTAACAGTCATTCGTCCCCCTCCCCATCCCCTGGCAACCACCCATCCACTTTCTGCCTCCATGGATTTGCCTGTTCTGGACCTTTCCTAGAAATGGAATCTTACTCTATGTGGCCTTTTGTGTCTGGCTTCTCTCACGGAGTGTGACATCCTCAAGGCTCATCCACATTGCAGCCTGTGTCACAGCCTCGTTCCTTTTCATGGCTGCATACTATTCCACCATGTGGATGGACCACATTGTGCTAATCCACCCATCCACTGGTGGACACTTGAGTGGTTTCTGCTTTTGGGCCGTTACGAAATCCAGCTACTGTGAAACAGTTCACTTTTATTTTATTTTATTTATTTATTTTTTTGAGATGGAGTCTCGCTATCTCGCCTGTGCTATAGTGGCAGAATCTCGGCTCACTGCAAGCTCCGCCTCCCAGGTTCAAGTGACTCTCCTGCCTCAGCCTCCCGAGTAGCTGGGATTACAGTCACCCACCAGCATGCCCAGCTAATTTTTGTAGTTTTAGTAGAGACAGGGTTTCACCATGTTGGCCGGGCTGGTCTCGAACTCCTGACCTCAGGTGATCCACCCGTCTCAGTCTCCCAAAGTGCTGGGATGTTGCAGGCGTGAGCCACCGCGCTGGCCTCTAGGTGATTCTTTAACTAGAACGATAGATATCGGACTTTTGCTATGGGGTGGATTTTCCTCCTAATCTGAAATGAGGCAAAAAGTCTTAGCATGTCAGATGTGACGCCTTCTTTTATTTCGCTCAGCATAAATTTTAAGCAAATTGAGAATGGAGCCTGGGTACCCATTTCGGTAAAAGCTTTGTTTTTTTTTTTCTGCGTAAGACCTACATTTGACTCAGAGTGTAGTTGGTGAAATGCACATTTTTCTTAATGACAGAAGGACGTATTTCTTTCTTTCTTTCTTTCTTTTTTTTTTTGAGACAGACTGTCACTCTGTCGCCCAGGCTGGAATGCAGTGTCGTGATCTCAGCTCACTGCAAGCTCCGCCTCCCGGGTTCACGCCATTCTCCTGCCTCAGCCTCCCTAGTAGCTGGGACTACAGGCACCCGCCACCACGCCCGGCTAATTTTTTGTATTTTTAATAGAGACAGGGTTTCACCATGTTAGCCAGGATGGTCTCGATCTCCTGACCTCGTGATCCGCCTGCCTCAGTCTCCCACAGTGCTGGGATTACAGGCGTGAGTTACCGTGCCCGGCCGAAATGCACATTTTTCTGAATGACAGAAGGATGTATTTCTTTTTTTTTTTCTTTTTTTGAGACAGAGTCTCGCTCTGTCACCCAGGCTGGAGTGCAGTGGCGCGATCTCGGCTCACTGCAAGCTCCACCTCCCGGGTTCATGCCATTCTCCTGCCTCAGCCGCCTGAGTAGCTGGGACTACAGGCGCCCGCCACCACGCCCGGCTAATTTTTTTGTATTTTTAGTAGAGACGGGGTTTCACCGTGTTAGCCAGGATGGTCTCGATCTCCTGACCTCGTGAGCCGCCCACCTCGGCCTCCTAAAGTGCTGGGATTTACAGGCGTGAGCCACTGCGCCCGGCCAGAAGGACGTATTTCTGATAGCCAGGGGTAGTGATTTACAGCACTGTAGTACAGAAAACTGTTTTTTTCCTCTTTGTAAAAGGAGTAGTTGCTGATTGGAGAAAACTTGGGAAGTACAGAGAGTATTCAAAAATCAGGGCTGGGCTTTGGGAGGCTGAGGCAGGCGGATCACAAGGTCAGGAGTTCGTGACCAGCCTGACCAACATGGTGAAACCCCGTCTCTACTAAAAATACAAAATTAGCTGGGTGGGGTGGTGGGCACCTGTAATCCCAGCTACTCAGGAGGCTGAGGCAGGAGAACCACTTGAACCCAGGAGGCGGAGGTTGCAATGAGCCGAGATTGCACCACTGCACTCCAGCCTGGGCAACAGAGCGAGATGCCATCTGAAAAAAAAAAAAAAAAAAAAAAAGCCGGGCCGGATGGCTCCTGCCTGTAATCCCAGTACTTTGGGAGGCTGAGGTGAGAGGATCACTGGAGCCTAGGAATTTGAGATGAGCTTGGGCAACATAGCAAGACCCCATCTCTACCAAAAAGCAAAATTAGCTGGGCATGGTGGCCCATGCTGTAGTCCCAGCTACTCGGGAGGCTGAGGCAGGCGGATTACTTGATCCCAGGAGTTTGAAACTAGTCTGGGCAACGTAGTGAGATGCCATCTCTACCCCCCCCCCAAAAAAAATTAGCCCAGCATGGTGGTGTGCACCTGTAGTCCTAGCTACTCGGGAGGCTGAGGTGGGAGGATCACTTGAGCCCAGGAGGTCAAGGCTGCAGTGAGCCGAGATCACACCATTGCATTCCAGCCTGGGCAACAGAGCAAGACCCTGTCTCACATAAAATAAAATAAATAGGCCGGGCGCAGTGGCTCATGCCTGTCATCCCACACTTTGTGAGGCCGAGGCGGGCGGATCACGAGGTCAGGAGTTTGAGACCATCCTGGCCAACATGGTGAAACCCCGTCTCTACTAAAAATACAAAAAAAAAAAAATAGCCGGGCATGGTGGCGGGCGCCTGTAGTCCCAGCTACTCGGGAGGACGAGGCAGGAGAATGGCGTGAACCCGGGAGACGGAGCGTGCAGTGAGCCGAGATCGTGCCACTGCACTCCAGCCTGGGCGACAGAGCGAGACTCCGTCTCAAAAAAAAAAAAAAAGTCCAGACATGGTTGTTCAACAGCACAGAGGGACGTCTTGCTGAGAAGTGGCCGGACGAGGCTGCCCCAGACACCGCAGCCCTCTCCTCCTGCCCCCCACACCCTCCAGGACTGAAGAGGCCGTAGGCTCGGCCGGCAGCATCTGCTCCCTTTGTCCTCCAAAGGAACCCGTGTGTGGAAGGAATGCCTCCGGGGAGAACAGCTGACGTCCGGTGCCGTTTTGGCAGCACGGAACCCCAGTTATTTTCAGATGTCTTGTTCGTGCCCCAGAGGTCAGGGACCAGCAGCTTTCAGGAAGCCTCGGCCAGGCACTGCGTTAACTCCGCGATGACTTTCTGGCTGCAGAATCCCAACTATGCAATTCACTCTTAATCCCCAGCTTCAAGGCACTGTCAGGCGTTTCCGTGACAAAAACTCTCTCTTTTTTTTTTCTTTTCTTCTTTTGTTTTTTTTTTTTTTTTTTTTGAAATGGAGTCTTGCTCTGTCACCCAGGCTGGAGTGCAGTGGTGTTATCTCTGCTCACAGCAACCTCCGCCTCCCGGGTTCAAGCGATTCTCCTGCCTCAGCCTCCCGAGTAGCTGGGACTACAGGCACCCGCCACCACGCCCGGCTAATATTTTGTATTCCTTGTAGAGATGGGGTTTCAGCATCTCTACGCTATTTCCAAATAAGGTCCCAGGCTGGGGGCGGTGGCTCACACCTATAATGTTGGCCAGGCTGGTCTCGACCTCCTGACCTCAAGCGATCCACCCGCCTCGGCCTCCCAAAATGCCGGGATGACAGGCGTAAGCCAACGCGCCCGGCCAGAAACCTGCTATATTCTGCACCGTTTTTCCGGGTCCAGGCAGACGTGGGTCCCTGTGGTTTCAGAGCACAAGTGGTGTTTTATGGAATCATCTTCGCTGTGGCAAGCACACTATGGTAGATGGGATAGGGTGGGTGTTGGTGGTGAGGAAGAGGTCGTGCCCGTCCGTGGATGACGTGGGAAGCTCTCGAAGAGTTGCTGGCATTTGTACCTGTTTGCACGCAGCAGCGCTCTGAGTGGCAGAGACAGGATGTCCCCCAGATCCCACGTCCCCGCAGTTGTTAGTGAGACGGATGCCTCGGGATGTGCCTTGGTCTCTGGTTTGAGAACGTTTCTGTTGACTTGCCATTTTCTAACCACGGGGCGCACAGCAGAGTCAGAACTGGGTTACAGAACGTGGGCTATGGACTCCAGTTGCCTTTCTGACCTACTTTATTTTGTTTTGTTATTTTATTTTATTTATTTATTTATTTTTTGAGACGGAGTCTCGCTCTGTCGCCCAGGCTGGAGTGCAGTGGTGCGATCTCGGCTCACTGCAAGCTCCGCCTCCCGGGTTCACACCATTCTCCTGCCTCAGCCTCCCGAGTAGCTGGGACTACAGGCGCCCGCCACCACACCCGGCTAATTTTTTGTATTTTTAGTAGAGACGGGGTTTCACCGTGTTGGCCAGGCTGGTCTCAAACTCCTGACCTCAAGTGATCGGCCCACCTTGGCCTCCCAAAGTGCTGGGATTACAGGCGTGAGCCATCACGTCCGGCCTTCAAGTACACTTTCTGTTGAATGCATACTGCTTTCTCTCCAGCATAAAGTTAAAAAATCCTGAATTGCACCATTGGAAGCTGGGGACTGTCTGTATGCAATATTATGTATAGTTTGATTTCTTTTTTTGCATTTTTTTTTTAAATTTTTTTGAGACAGAGTTACACTCTTGTTGCCCAGGCTGGAGTGCAGTGGCACGATCTCAGCTCACTGCAACCTCCACCTCCCGGGTTCAAGCAATTCTCCTGCCTCAGTCTCCCAAGTAGCTGGGATGACAGGCGTGAGCCACCACGCCCGGCTAATTTTGTATTTTTAGTGGAGATGGGGTTTCTCCATGTTGGCCAGGCTGGTCTCGAACTCCTGACCTCGTGATCCGCTCGCCTCAGCCACCCAAAGTGCTGAGATAACAGGCGTGAGCCACCGTGCCTGGCTAATTTTGTATTTTTAGTGGAGATGGGGTTTCTCCATGTTGGCCAGGCTGGTCTCGAACTCCTGACCTCGTGATCCGCTCGCCTCAGCCACCCAAAGTGCTGAGATAACAGGCGTGAGCCACCGTGCCGGGCTAACTTTGTATTTTTAGTGGAGATGGGGTTTCTCCATGTTGTCCAGGCTGGTCTCGAACTCCTGACCTCATGACCCGCTCGCCTCGGCCACCCAAAGTGCTGAGATGACAGGCGTGAGCCACCGTGCCCGGCTAATTTTGTATTTTTAGTGGAGATGGGGTTTCTCCATGTTGTCCAGGCTGGTCTCGAACTCCTGACCTCATGACCCGCTCGCCTCGGCCACCCAAAGTGCTGAGATGACAGGCGTGAGCCACCGCGCCCGGCTAATTTTGTATTTTTAGTGGAGACGGGGTTTCTCCATGTTGGCCAGGCTGGTCTCGAACTCCTGACCTCATGACCCGCTCGCCTCGGCCACCCAAAGTGCTGGGATGACAGGCGTGAGCCACCGCGCCCGGCCACAGTTACACACGGACACAGAGCCAAGGGGCCACCTGAACTCCCTCTCAGCCCTGGAATGAAAGACCATAGGACCAGGCGCGGCGGCTCATGCCCACAATCCCAGCACAGTGGGAGGCCGAGGCAGGAGGATCGCTTGAGGCCTGGAGTTCGAGACCAACCTGGGCCACCTAGCAAGACCCTGCCCCTACCAAAAAATGTAAACAATAAAAATAAATGAAAAGCAACAATAAAAGAAGGTAGACCACGTGTTGCGGGACCTTCCTCTCCTGGGGCGCCTTGTGGGTGTGGGCAGGGGAGGCTATTCCCGGCCTTTCACGTTCTAAAAACATCCCGTGGAAAGTGTACAGACGGCATCTGTGGGGCTCACCTCTGTGCCCGTCACTCGATCGTGGGCCTGCTGAGTGGCGCTATTTTTGGAGGGCAGCTGGGGGAGGGAGGAATTGGTACGATTTTGCTATTATAGGAAGGAAGACTAAGGGATTCCTAGGCTTGCTTACATGCTTTTTTTTTTTTTGAGACGGAGTCTCGCTGTGTCGCCCAGGCTGGAGAGCAGTGGCCCCATCTCATCTGACTGCAAGCTCTGCCTCCCGGGTTCACGCCATTCTCCAGCCTCAGCCTCCTAGAGAGTAGCTGGGGCTACAGGCGCCCGCCACCAACACCCGGCTAATTTTTTGTATGTTTAGTAGAGACAGGGGGTCTCACCGTGTTAGCCCGGATGGTCTCAAGATCTCCTGAACTTGTGATCCGCCCGCCTCGGCCTCCCAAAGTGCTGGGATTAGAGGCGTGAGCCACCGCGCCCGGCCGCCTACATGATTGTTATAAGCCATGACCCTTTCGGCATATGAGAGAGTGTGTGAATCCTGTCAGTTCAGGGTTAGAAGCCCAGGATGCATGATTGAGGTGGCTGTCTGCAATAGCAACTTGCTTTCTCATGGCAGAAAATTAGATTTTTTTTTTTTCTTTTTGAGACAGACTCTTTCTCTGTCACTCAGACTGGAGTGCAATGGCACGATCACAGCTCACTGCAGCCTCAAACTCCTGGGCTCCAGCAATCCTCCCACCTCAGCCTCCTGAGCACCAGGGACCACAGGCGTGCACCACCATACCCAGCTAATTTTTAAATTTCTTTAGAAATGAGATCTCGCTATGTTGCCCAGGCTGGTCTCAAACTCCTGGGCTTAAGCCATCCTCCTGCTTCAGCCTCCCAAAGTGCTGGGATTACAGGCGTGAGCCACTGCACCTGGCCCATGTATGCATTTTAATATATATTAAAGAGACGGAGTTTCGCTCTTGTCACCCAGGCTGGAGGGCAGTGGTGCGATCTTGGCTCACTGCAACCTCCGCCTCCCAGGTTCAAGCCATTCTCCTGCCTCAGTCTCCCAAGTAGCTGGGATTACAGGTGCTCACCACCATGTCTTCTATCCTTAAAGAACGGGGAAATTTGGGTGCAGATGTGTGTGTGTGTGTGTGTGTGTGTGTATGTGTGTGTGTGTATATATCTGTGTGTGTGTATATATGTGTGTGTCTGTATATATATGTGTGTATGTGTGTATATATATAAAATACAATATAAATTTTTTAAAAAATATAGTTTATAAAATTATGTTTTATAAAAAATTTTAAAATATAGAAACAAAATTATAGTTTGTAAAAACATTTTTACACATATGACAATATGTAAAATTGTATTTTATAAAAAGTTTTAAAATATGAAAATATATAAAATTACATTTTATAAAAACATAAGCCCTTCACCCTTCTTCTGTATTAAATTAGCAACCTGCAAAGCTGACCTCCGGGAGTCTCAGAGAGGCTGGCTTGTTTAATGGAACCGTGTATTCTTTTTTGTTTGTTTGTTTTTTGAGGCGGAGTCCCGCTCTGTCGCCTGGGCTGGAGTGCAGTGGTGCAATCTGGGCTCACTGCAAGCTCCGCCTCCCGGGTTCACGCCATCCTCCTGCCTCAGCCTCCCGAGTAGCTGGGATGACAGGTGCCCGCCACCACGCCCGGCTCATTTTTTGTAGTTTTGGTAGAGACGGGGTTTCACTGTGTTACCCAGGATGGTCTCGATCTCCTGAACTCGTGATCCACCCGCCTCGGCCTCCCATAGTGCTGGGATGACAGGCGTGAGCCACCGTGCCCGGCCAGAAGAAAGCCTTTATGGAGAAGAATGTTGACACTATGACAGCGAATTGTGTGCCTGCTGGCTGTCTGGGTTTAACCCACCCCTCACAGCCCCACCCAGCCCCCACCAATCAGAACGTGAGCCGCCGAGGACAGGAAGGTTTCTCCTTGGTCTGTTTCTCTCACTACAGGGACCCCGGGAAATAGAATGGCACCTGTCACACGGTAGCTTTCAGACAGACACATTCAGAGTCCAGAATGTTCACCATTACACCATGGAACTGTCTTCACGGTAGCTTCCTAATACATGTTTGTTCCCTCGATAAATGAAACAAGGGCGTCGGGGCTCCAGCCTGTCATCCCAGCACTTTGGGAAGTAGAGGTGGGTAGGTTCCTTGAGTTCAGGAGTCTGAGACCAGCCTGGACAACACAGCAAGATCCAGTCTCTGCAAAAAAAAAAAAAATACACTAAATTAGCCGGGCATGGTGGCACCTGCCTGTAGGCCCAGCTACAAGGAGATAGGAGGATCACTTTAAATGTTTTGAGTCACCAACTTGGAAACATTCTTTTTGTAGAATCTCCAAAGTGACGTTTCTGAGTCCATCGAGGCTTGTAAGGAAACATAGAATATCCAATGATAAAAGCTAGAAACAAGCTATCTATGAAAATGCTTTGATGTGTGACTGAGTATGTGTGTGTGAGGGTATGTGTGAGTGCGTGAGTGTGAACGTATGAGTATGTGTGTGTGTGTGAGGGTGTGTGTGTGAGGGTATGTGTGTGTGATTCAGCATTTGGCTCTGTGAGGGTACGTGTGAGTGTGAGCACGTGGCTATTTGTGTGTGTGTGAGGGTATGTGTGAGTGCGTGTGTGATTGAGCACGTGACTGTATGTGTGTGCATGTGTGTGAGGGTACGTGTGAGTGCGTGAGCCTGTGACTGAGCACGTGGTTCTGTGTGTGCGTGTGTGTCCTTGCAGCTGGCAGGGGGTGTTGCCCAGGGAAGAACTGGGGGAAGCAGCTTTCTCCCCACTCAGGAGAGGGCCCGCACAGGGGAGCGGCCACGCAGGCCGCGCAGGAGCTTGTCCTCCTGACTTGGAGTCCCTGGCAGGAACCTGATGCTGGAGTGAAGAATATGCCTCGTTTAGGGGGCACCGTGGTTCCCACTTCCCAGCTGAGGAAGCCCCTTGGAGACAGTGGGGCTGAGATTCAGAGCCCGCCCTGGGACCCACAGTCGGATCGCTGCTCTCCCTAGGAGACCTCCTGGGCTCCCATTTTCCCTTCTCTGCCACAGTTGCCACCTGCGTGCTGGGGCGGCAAAGCGTAAAGGCTGGCAGGTCCTTCCTCAACCCCGGAAGGTGGGAACCACAGCACGGTCATTGCCGGCGTAAAACCCCAGGGCCGTCAGGTGCTGTGTGCAGATTGAACAGCTTCATGCTTCTACGCTCACCTGCAACGGAATAGGTCGGCCCCTGGGACCACATTGTGAAATGCAATCTGAGCATTCTCTGGGCAATGACGGTGCAACCTGGACAGGCTCGGGGGGTCCCCAGCGCAGACATTGAACCTCCTCTTTGTCATTTTCCTAAAGGTTGGAAGTAGAAATCGTCCTAAATCATAGCCACGCGATTTCTCTCCGGAAAGGACGACATTTGGGTCATGTAGGGTTCACGTCTGCAAACTCTGAACTTCTTTTTTTTTCTTTTCTTTTCTTTTTCTTTTTTTTTTTTTTTTTTTTTTTTTTGAGATGGAGTCTTGCGCTGTTGCCCAGGCTGGAGTGCAGTGGTACGATCTCAGGTCACCACAACCTCCGCCTCTCTGGTTCAAGCGATTCTCCTGCCTCAGCCTCCCGAGTAGCTGGGATTACAGGCACCTGCCATCATGCCCAGCTAATTATTATTATTATTATTTTTTGAGACGGCGTCTCTCTCCGTCTCCCAGGCTGGAATGCAGTGGCACGATCTCGGCTCACCGCAACCTCCACCTCCCAGTTCAAGCGATTCTCCTGCCTCAGCCTCCCGAGTAGCTGGGATTACAGGTGTGCACCATCATGCCTGGCTAATTTTTGTATTTTTAGTAGAGACGGGGGTTTCACCTTGTTGGCCAGGCTGGTCTCGAACTCCTGACCTCAGGGGATGCACCCACCTCAGCCTCCCAAAGTGCTGGGATTATAGGCATAAGCCACCGCACCCGGCCACCCCTGCACTTCTTTGTGTCCTTTCTTTCAAGGAAAGGACACAATGCTGGAATTATTAAATAAGTCCTCTTTGAGATAAACGGGAATGGTTCGTGTCTTGACAGTGAGCATTTGCAGTAGAAATCACGCACACTCAGCAGAGGGCTGCACAAGGCCAGCCGTGCTCCACCTGCCCCCCTCAAAAATCGGCCTCCGCACCTGCTGCGGCCATTTCATTACATCTCAAAACAACGTCAACTTATTTAATAAATAGGAGAATTTTTAAATCAAGTCCCGAGGCAGGATGTATAAACTTTAGTATTGATTATGCGTCCCTAAAAGCGCTCTCAGTAAAGGGACTTTGCTTCCTTTTCCTCAGGTTCCTATGAAGTCGTTTAATCCGTCTAACTCTTATTTTATGTTGTTTTCCCCGTTTTTATTACTTTATATGACAGTACATCTTTGTAGCCACAAACTCAATAGCATAATTGTGTGTTTTTTTTTCCCTGAGACAACAATGTGCTTTTTGTTCGAGGAGGTAATAATTCTTGACAAAATCTGTTTTAATGTCGTACCGAAAAAAAAAACAAACCCCACAAAACCCTTAACGGACATTTGTAGTCCCCATTGGATCTAAAACACTGTGATATTGTTTGTGTAATCTGCTTTTAAAGTCACCAAAAGTGCTTTGTTGTAAATACTCTGTGATAACATTTGCTTTGTTAACGTATTTTAAATGAAATATAGTTATAATTTCCCTCATGACATTTTCATTTAAATTTAAATGTCATGAGGGAAATTATAATTTAATTTAAAAAACGATTTAAATTTATTTAATAAATTTAATTAATAAATAATAATATATAATAAATATATAATAATAAATAAATAATCAAATTTGTTTAAATTTAAATTTATTTAAATTTATTCATTTATTTATTTATGTATTCATTTAGATAGTTATTTAAATTTATTTAAATTTATTATTATTTATTTTTATTTTATTTCATTTTATTTATTTTATTTTATTTTATTTTAGAGACAGGGTCTCCTTCTGTTGCCCAGCTTGGAGCGCACCTGTGTGATCTCGGCTCACTGCAGACTCCGCCTCCTGGGTTCAAGAGATCCTCCTGCCTCAGCGTGCATGCACCACCAAGCCTGGCTCATATTTTTTAGACATTTTAATTTTATTCAGGGTCACAAAGTTACCTTTTTTTTTTTTTTTTTTTTTTGAGACAGAGTCTTGCTCTGTCGCCCAGGCTGGAGTGCAGAGGTGCAATCTCGGCTCGCCGCAACCTCCGCCTCCCGGGTTCAAGCGATTCTCCTGCCTCAGCCTCCCGAGTAGCTGGGATGACAGGCACCCGCCACCACGCCCGGCTACTTTTTGTATTTTTAGTGGAGACGCGGTTTCACCATGTTGGCCAGGCTGGTCTCGAACTCCCGACCTCGAGTGATCCTCCCGCCTCGGCCTCCCAAAGTGCTGGGATGACAGGCATGAGCCACCTCGCCCGGCCACACAGTCACCTTTTTATGTGACGCGCATCGTGTAGATGGAAGAGAAATCAAACGGCACCGTCTGCCGGGGCGGGATTGCAGCCCGTTCCAATGTCTCATTTATTCCCCGGGTGCTGGGAGAGTCTCTGGGATGACAAGACTGATGGTTCCTAACCCAGGCCGGGGCAACGCATGACTTTTGACGCCTCGGAGAAGCCCTTCCTTCCTGGACTGTATTCTGACAGGGAGTGCGTCTCACGCTTTACCCGACGGCGCCCAGAGCGACCTTCATCGCGGCCCACCGGCCAGGGCCGTCTTCTGGATCTTCAGCGGCTTGAGGAACTTTCTGTCCCCTTCTGGGTTGACTGAATTTTTATCGCGAAAAGGCACTGCCTTTGCTCAAATGCTTTTCCTGCATTTCTGCAAATGGTCATGTGAGTTTGGCCCCTTAGCCATGAATACGGTGCGTCACATTCACTGGTTTTCCAGAAAAGAGCTGTATAGAGAGAGAATTTACACAGCTGACAATGTGTCCGTTTAAACTCTTCCAACCCGTGGCTTTCTGTATGCAGAGACTTGTGCCACCATCACCACAGTCTATTTTATTGCTTTACTTATATTTGTTTTTTTTTTTTTTTTTGAGACAGGGTCTCGCTCCTGTAGCCTTGGACTCTCAGGCTCAAGGGATCCTCCCTCCTCAGCTCCCCAAGTAGCCGGGCAACGTGGCTTCTCCCGAGTAGCTGGGTGACGCTGTTTCTCCAGAGTAGCTGGGTGACGCGGTTCCTCCCGAGTATCTGGGTGACGCGGCTTCTCCAGAGTTTCTGGGTGACGCGGCTTCTCCAGAGTAGCTGGAGGATGCTGTTTCTCCCGAGTAGCTGGGTGACGCTGTTTCTCCAGAGTAGCTGGGTGACGCGGTTTCTCCCGAGTATCTGGGTGAGGCGGCTTCTCCAGAGTTTCTGGGTGACGTGGCTTCTCCAGAGTAGCTGGAGGATGCTGTTTCTCCCGAGTAGCTGGGTGACGCCGTTTCTCCCGAGTAGCTGGGTGACGCTGTTTCTCCCGAGTAGCTGGGTGACGCTGTTTCTCCCGAGTAGCTGGGTGATGTTGTTTCTCCGGAGTAGCTGGTGACGCCGTTTCTCCCGAGTAGCTGGGTGACGCCGTTTCTCCCGAGTAGCTGGGTGACGCTGTTTCTCCCGAGTAGCTGGGTGATGTTGTTTCTCCGGAGTAGCTGGTGACGCTGTTTCTCCGGAGTAGCTGGTGATGCCGTTTCTCCAGAGTAGCTGGTGATGCCGTTTCTCCCGAGTAGCTGGGTGATGCTGTTTCTCCAGAGTAGCTGGTGACGCTGTTTCTCCAGAGTAGCTGGTGACGCTGTTTCTCCCGAGTAGCTGGGTGAAGCCGTTTCTCCAGAGTAGCTGGTGACGCCGTTTCTCCCGAGTAGCTGGTGACGCCGTTTCTCCCGAGTAGCTGGTGACGCCGTTTCTCCCGAGTAGCTGGTGACGCCGTTTCTCCCGAGTAGCTGGTGACGCCGTTTCTCCAGAGTAGCTGAGTGACGCCGTTTCTCCCGAGTAGCTGGTGACGCCGTTTCTCCCGAGTAGCTGGTGACGCTGTTTCTCCCGAGTAGCTGAGTGACGCCGTTTCTCCCGAGTAGCTGGTGACGCCGTTTCTCCCGAGTAGCTGGTGATGCTGTTTCTCCCGAGTAGCTGGTGATGCTGTTTCTCCCGAGTAGCTGGGTGACGCCGTTTCTCCCGAGTAGCTGAGTGACGCCGTTTCTCCCGAGTAGCTGAGTGACGCCGTTTCTCCCGAGTAGCTGGTGACGCCATTTCTCCTGAGTAGCTGAGTGACGCCGTTTCTCCCGAGTAGCTGGTGACGCCGTTTCTCCCGAGTAGCTGGTGACGCCGTTTCTCCCGAGTAGCTGGGTGACGCCGTTTCTCCCGAGTAGCTGGTGACGCCGTTTCTCCCGAGTAGCTGGTGACGCTGTTTCTCCAGAGTAGCTGGTGACGCTGTTTCTCCCGAGTAGCTGAGTGACGCCGTTTCTCCCGAGTAGCTGGTGACGCCGTTTCTCCCGAGTAGCTGGTGACGCCGTTTCTCCCGAGTAGCTGGTGACGCTGTTTCTCCAGAGTAGCTGGTGACGCCGTTTCTCCCGAGTAGCTGGGTGAAGCCGTTTCTCCAGAGTAGCTGGTGACGCCGTTTCTCCCGAGTAGCTGGTGACGCCGTTTCTCCCGAGTAGCTGGTGACGCCGTTTCTCCCGAGTAGCTGGTGACGCCGTTTCTCCCGAGTAGCTGGTGACGCCGTTTCTCCCGAGTAGCTGGTGACGCCGTTTCTCCCGAGTAGCTGGTGACGCCGTTTCTCCAGAGTAGCTGAGTGACGCCGTTTCTCCAGAGTAGCTGGTGACGCCGTTTCTCCCGAGTAGCTGGTGACGCCGTTTCTCCCGAGTAGCTGGTGACGCCGTTTCTCCCGAGTAGCTGGTGACGCCGTTTCTCCCGAGTAGCTGGTGACGCCGTTTCTCCAGAGTAGCTGGTGACGCTGTTTCTCCAGAGTAGCTGGTGACGCCGTTTCTCCCGAGTAGCTGGGTGATGTTGTTTCTCCGGAGTAGCTGGTGACGCCGTTTCTCCCGAGTAGCTGGTGACGCCGTTTCTCCCGAGTAGCTGAGTGACGCCGTTTCTCCAGAGTAGCTGAGTGACGCCGTTTCTCCCGAGTAGCTGAATGACGCCGTTTCTCCCGAGTAGCTGGTGACGCCGTTTCTCCCGAGTAGCTGGTGACGCCGTTTCTCCCGAGTAGCTGGTGACGCCGTTTCTCCCGAGTAGCTGGTGACGCCGTTTCTCCAGAGTAGCTGGTGACGCCGTTTCTCCCGAGTAGCTGGGTGACGCCGTTTCTCCCGAGTAGCTGGTGACGCCGTTTCTCCGGAGTAGCTGGTGACGCCGTTTCTCCCGAGTAGCTGGGTGACGCGGCTTCTCCCGAGTAGCTGGGTGACGCGGCTTCTCCCGAGTAGCTGGGTGACGCGGTTTCTCCAGAGTAGCTGGGTGATGCGGTTTCTCCCGAGTAGCTGGGTGACGCGGTTTTTCCTGAGTAGCTGGGTGACATGGTTTGGCTATGTCCCCTCCCAAGGTTTACCTTGAACGGTTATCATCCCCACGTGTCAAGGGCAGGGCCAGGTGGAGAGAATTGAATCATAGGGTCAGTTTCCCCCAGACTGTTCTCGTGGTAGTGAATAGGTCTCATGAGATCTGATTTTTTTTTTTTTTTTTTTTTTTGAGACAGAGTCTCGCTCTTGTCACCCAGGCTGGAGTGCAATATCATGATCTCGGCTCACTGCAACCTCTGCCTCCCAAGTAGCTGGGATTACAAGCACCCGCCACCACACCTGGCTAATTTTTTGTATTTTTAATAGAAACGAGGTTTCACCATGTTGGCCACGTTGATCTCAAACTCCTCACCTCAGGTGATCTACCCTCCTCAGCCTCCCAAAGTGCTGGGATGACAGGCGTGAGCCACCGTGCCCGGCCAAGATCTGATGGTTTTATAAATGGGAGCACCCCTCTATACGCCCTTTTTTTGCCTGCCGCCATGTAAGATGTGACTTTGCTCCTTCTTCGTCTTCCGCCATGATTGTGAGGCCTCCCCAGCCATGCGGAAATGTGAGTCCATTAAACCTCTTTCCTTTATAAATTACCCCATCTTCGTTATGCCTTTATTAGCAGCCTGAGAACAGACTAGTACACTTGGACTGTAGGTGCACAACACCATCCCCAGTTAAGTTTTTTTGGTTTGTTTTTTTGTAGAGAGAGGTTCTCCCTATATGCCCAGGCTGGTTTTGAACTCCTGGCCTCAAGTGATCCTCCTGTCCCAGCCTCCAAAACTGCTGGGATTATGGGTATGAACCATGGTGTCCAGACATCAGAATACATTTTATTTTATTTTTGTTTTACTTTATTTTATTTTTTTTTGAGGCAGAGTCTCGCTCTGTCGCCCAGGCTGGAGTGCAGTGGCACGATCTCGGCTCACTGCAACCTCCGGCTTCCAGGTTCAAGCGATTCTCCTGCCTCAGCCTCCTGAGTAGCTGGGATGACAGTCACCTGCCACCATGCCCGGGCTAATTTTTGTATTTTTAGTAGAGATGGGGTTTCACCATGTTGGCCAGTCTGGTCTCAAACTCCTGACCTCAAGTGATCCACCCGCCTTCGCCTCCCATAGTGCTGGGATGACAGGCGTGAGCCACCGCAGCAGGCTGGGGTGCAGCTAACTTGAAAGCAGGACACTCAGTGGGAGCCTTCAGGCTTTTTTTTTTTTTTGAGATGGAGTCTTGCTCTGTCACCCAGGCTGGAGTGCAGTGGTGTGATCTCGGCTCACTGAAACCTCCGCCTCCCGGGTTCAAACGATTCTCCTGCCTCAGCCTCCTGAGTAGCCGGGATTACAGGTGCCCGCCACCACACCTGGGTAATTTTGTATTTTTAGTAGAAATGGGGTTTCTCCATGTTGGCCAGGCTGGTCTTGAACTCTTGACCTCAGGTGATCCACACGCCTCGGCCTCCCAAAGTGCTGGGATGACAGGCGGGAGCCACCGCGCCTGGCTGCCTTCGGACCTCTCGGTGGGAGGAACGTGTGGGTCCTATCCAAGCATCAGCTCTGTCTCCTACCTGCTCTCACCTCCGTGGGCACGCCTGGTTCTCGGCACCCGTGGCAGCCGGGCTGTTGAGCCTCGGCTGGGGTTTGCAGAGGTTTTCTGGGAAGAGCTACTCCAATTCAGGCGGACTGGCAGATCTGGAGAATTCCATGACCCCGGGGACCCAGGGCAGCTGTCGTGACTGTGGGGTGCAAGGACCTGGTGGCCAGGTGGATCCCAGGCATTGCGATGGGCTCCACGGTGAGCTGTGGAAAAGAGCCTGGGTCCTGGATTTTATGTCTGGGAATCTGCTGACCACACTTGCCCAACTGCTTTACTCATAGTGGTAAAAGCAGCTACTTTTAGGCTGGGCACGGTGGCTCACGCCTGTAATCCCAGCACTTTGGGAGGCTGAGGCGGGTGCATCCCCTGAGGTCAGGAGTTCGAGACCAGCCTGGCCAACATGGCGAAACCCTGTCTCTACTAAAAATACAAAAATCACCTAGGCATGGTGGCATGCGCCTGTAATCCCAGCACTTTGGGAGGCTGAGGCGGGCGGATCACCCGAGGTCAGGAGTTCGAGACCAGCCTGGCTAACGTGTCGAAACCCTGTCTCTACTAAAAATACAAAAATCACCTGGGCATGGTGGCATGTGCCTGTAATCCCAGCTACTCAGGAGTCTGAGGCAGGAGAATTGCTTGAACCCAAGAGGCCGAGGTGGCAATGAGCTGAGATCGCGACATTTCACTCCAGCCTGGGTGACAAAGACTGAAACTCCGACTCAAAAAAAAAAAAAAAGAATGTTGTTGATGTCTGCCCCAAAGCAGCTTGCTTTAGTTATAGTGTTAAAAGTGGCTACTTTTAGGCCGGGCATGTTGGCTCACACCTGTCATCCCAGCGCTTTGAGAGGCCGAGGTGGGCGGATCACCTGAGGTCAGGAGTTTGAGACCAGCCTGGCCAACATGGTGAAACCCCATCTCTACTAAAAATACAAAAATCACCTGGTCACGGTGGTGGGCACCTGTAATTGCAGCTACTCGGAAGGCTGAGGCAGGAGAATTGCTTGAACCCGGGAGGCGGAGGTTGCAGTGAGCCGAGATCACACCATTGCACTCCAGCCTCGGTGGCAGAGTGAGACTGTGTCTAAATAAATAAATAAATAAATAAATAAATAAATAAATAAATAATTTGGGGCCGGGCGCGGTGGCTCACACCTGTAATCCCAGCACTTTGGGAGGCCGAGGCGGGTGGATCACGAGGTCAGGAGATCAAGACCATCCTGGCTAACACGGTGAAACCCCGTCTCTACTAAAAATACAAAAAAAATTAGCCGGGCGTGGTGGCGGCGCCTGTAGTCCCAGCTACTCGGGAGGCTGAGGCAGGAGAATGGCGTGAACCCGGGAAGCGGAGCTTGCAGTGAACCGAGATCGCGCCACTGCACTCCAGCCTGGGCGACAGAGCGAGACTCCATCTCAAAACAAAGAAACAAGCAAACAAACAAAAAAAAACTTAAAAATTAGCCAGCTGTGGTGGTGCACACCTATAGTCCCAGCTACTCAGGAGGCTGAGGCAGGAGAATGGGGTGAACCCGGGAGGCCGAGCTTGCAGTGAGCTGAGATGGCACCACTGCACTCCAGGCTGGGCGACAGAGCGAGACTCCGTCTCAAAAAAAAAAAACAAACTTAAAAATTAGCCAGCTGTGGCGGTGCACACCTATAGTCCCAGCTACTCAGGAGGCTGAGGCAGGAGGATTGCCTGAGCCTAGGAGGTCGAGGCTGCAGTTAGCTGTGATCGCACCACTGCACTCCAGCCTGGGCAACAGACCAAAACCTCGTCTCCAAAAAAAAAGTAAATAAATAAAGTTGCAATGACTCCCATTGCCGATTCAAAGAGCTTTTATGAATGTCTCAATATACTTGCCTAGCCTGTTTTTGGATTCAAACGCAAAGTTTTGTTCACCGTAGGTGGGAGATCAAGTTGGCAACAATAGTGTTCCAAGGTAATACACCCTGTATCTCAGAGAAATTGAAATATAACCATCTCAGAGGTTTTTTGTTTCTTTGGTTTTTTGAGACTGTCTCAAAGAAAAAAATTGAAACCCTGCTCCAGGGCTAGGAACCCACAAATTTGAGCACAGCTGTCACTGTCGGTATCAAACTTGTCTTTATTTTTTCAGCTGAGGTCTTGCTCTGTTGCCCAGGCTGGAGTGCAGTGTTGGGATCTCAGCTCCTTGCAGCCTCAACCCTCTGGGCTCCACCAATCCTCCTGCATCAGCCTCCCGAGTAGCTGGGACTACAGGTGTGCGCCACCATGCCTGGCCAATTTTAAATTTGTTTTTTGAGAGATGGGGGTCTTGCAATATTGTCCAGGCTGGTTTCAAACTCCTGGCCTCAAGCGATGCTCTCATATCGGCCTCCTGAGTGGTTGGGACTACGAGCGTGAGCCACCATGCTCGGCTGATTTTATTTTTAAATTGTTTGTAGAGGCCAGGTGCAGTGGGTCTTGCCTGTAATCCCAGCACTTTGGGAGGCCGAGGCCGGTGGATTGCTTGAGCCCAGGAGTTCAAGACCAGCCTTGCCAGTATGGCAAAACCTCATCTCTACTAAAAAAAAAAATACAAAAAAAAAAATTAGCCAGGTGTGATGGTGTGTGCCTGTTATCCCAGCTACTCGGGAGAGTAAGGCAGGAGAATTGCTTGAACCTGGGAGGCGGACGTTGCAGTGAGCTGAGATCGTGGGTGACAGCGAAAGTCTGTCTCAAAAAGAAAAAAAAAAATCAATGGTTTGTGAAAATACAGCCGGTGACCATGGACCCCCCTAGGCACAGCCTCAAGCCACCCAGAAGAAGATGGAAAAGGATTTTCTTTTAAATCAGCGAGATTTAAATAAGCATGGCGAGCACAGCTGGGAGGCCCCGCCAGGAATTCCGAAGGTTGAAAGGGGCCCTGTCCGCTCCCCCATCCTGGAAATAGTGTCCATGGAGCTGCGGAGTCCGGGTGGGCGCCGGGGACGAGCTTTCAACAGCTCACCCGGCCCCAACATTCCGTCCACACATTCCACGGCCAAGACAGTCACCCCCTGCCAGGGATTAACCGAGGGCCACGCTTAGTGGCAGGAATGCACGCGCCCGATTTAGACATCCCGCTTGGCATCGGCGGTCAGGGTGGCTTGCAAAGGCCCGGGGTGGGTGGATGCCGGAGACGCTGGAGCTCTGAGGTCTACAGGAGGAATTGCTTTTCCGATGGGCTGGTCAGGGAGGAAGGAAGCTGGGGAGAAGCCGGGAGTCCCAGCCTCCACAATGCCTGCCCTTCCAAGACGAGCCAGGCCCCCCGGACAGGATGGCAGCCCCCCTCCAGGCCAGCATGACTTCAGGCCTGGGGAATGTGCCACCTTCCGAATTAGAAGGGCACTGGTTCCCACCCGCGGGGAACCGTAACACAGCGTCTCCCTCCTTCCTCCAGGACCCACGGCTGAGCTCGGAGCTGCCCGAGAGCTCGGGATGTGGGGTGCAGAGCAGAGGAGAAACCTCCCCCGACCCCGGGTCCTTGGGGCATAGGGTCTTTTTCAGGGCCATCTGCGGAAAGAGGACCTGCGTCTTTACCACCCGGGGGCCCTTGTCTTTGCTGCTCAGCTGTGTTTAGGTCCCCGTTGCTGGGTGATACTGGGGAGACGTAAACAGACCTCGGTCAGCCGGGGCTGGGGCAGGAGCAGGTGCAGCTGGACTCCAGGGCAGGGGCCGACTGCTGTACACAGTCATGCTGAAAAGCATGTCAAAAATAAAAGGAGCAGGGGAAATGGCACCTTTTATTTTTTATTTTATTATTATTATTATCATTTTTGAGATGGAGTTTTGCTCTTGTTACCCAGGCTGGAGTGCAATGGTGTGATCTCGGCTCACTGCAACCTCCGCCTCCCGGGTTCAACGGATTCTCCTGCCTCAGCCTCCCGAGTAGCTGGGATGACAGGTGCCCACACCACGCCCAGCTAATTTTTGTATTTTTAGTGGAGATGGGGTCTCGCCGTGTCGGCCAGGCTGTTCTTGAACTCCTGACCTCAGGTGATCCGCCAGCCTCGGCCTCCCAAAGTGCTGGGACTACAGGCGTGAGCCACCGCGCCCGGCCTATTTTTTATTTATTTTATTATTAATATTTTTGAGGCGGAGTTTCACTCTTGTTGCCCAGGCTGGAGTGCGGTGGCGGGATCTCGGCTCACTGCAACCTCCGCCTCCCGGGTTCAAGTGATTCTCCTGCCTCAGTCTCCCAAAGTGCTGAGATTACAGGCGTGCACCACCACGCTCGGCTAATTTTGTGTTTTTAGTAGAGACGGGGTTTCACCATGTTGGTCAGGCTGGTCTCGAACTCCTGACCTCAGGTGATCCACCCTCCTCTGCCTCCCAGAGTGCTGGGATGACAGGTGTGAGCCACCTCACCTGGCCCTATTTTATTTTTATTTTTTGCAAGGAAGGAATGAAGGGATTTATTGAAAATGGAAGTACCCTCCACAGCGCGGGAGGAGACCGAGAAGAGGAGCTCAAAGACTAAAGGGACGGGCTTTTAAAGACATTTAATTAAAAGGAATTAAGTTTCCCTTATGACATTTAGAAAAAAGTCAAGTCCAAATGGTACAAAACGGTCAGCTTGCTTTGTGCCTTGGCGGCCGCGTATGAAACATCATTAGAATAGAACCGGAAGCGTCTAGATTTTCACTTTTCACCCTGAAAGATGAAACAGAGATGAAAGCAGTCACCAATTTTCTCTAATTATTTTGCAATTAAGCGTCCGAGCACCCCAGGTAGCGTGGACTCCCACAGCTCTTAAACCAAATACCTGACTGTCTGAAATTAATTATAAAAATGGATCAAGGGGTGGTTTTCACGTGGTGGCTGATGAATGCTTTCTGAGTCTTGTTTTCCTGTTTGTTTACCGTGGCACGTAAGACGTACAGAACATAAAATTCACCGTGTGAGCCATTTTTCGTTTGTTTGTTTTTGAGACGGAGTCTCGCTCTGTCACCCAGGCTGGAGTGCAGTGGTGTGATCTCGGATCACTGCAACCTCCGCCTCCTGGTTCAAGCGATTCTCCTGCCTCAGCCTCTTGAGGAGCTGGGACTGCAGACATACACCATCACACCTGGCCAATATTTAATTTTTTTTGTAGAGACAGGGTCTTGCTCTGTGGCCCAGGCTGGAGTGCACTGGTGCAATCTCCGCTCACTGCAGCCTCCACCTCCTGGGCTCAGGTGATCCTCCCACCTCAGCCTCCTGAGGAGCTGGGACTACAGACATACACCATCACACCTGGCCAATATTTAATTTTGTTGTAGGGACAGGCTCTTGCTCTGTGGCCCAGGCTGGAGTGCAGTGGTGCAATCTCAGCTCACTGCAGCGTCCACCTCCTGGGCTCAGGTGATCCTCCTGCCTCAGCTTCCTGAGGAGCTGGGACTACAGACAGGTGCCACCACTCCCAGCTAATTTTTAAATTTTTTTGTAGGGACAGACTCTTGCTCTGTTGCCCATGGTGATCTTGAACACCTGGGCTTGATGTATCTGCCCGCCCAAATCCCGCCTTTCATTTACACTGCCCCCACCCCTGCCCACCCCAGGGAAGGTCTTTATTCTTAAATCTGCCTTTCTGACCTCTCTTCCCAAATGTGTGTATTTCTAACAGATCTCCGAGTCCAGATCACGCACACCGTTTTCCATAATCCAGGGATTTGGAGCCGCCGGAGGGGTGAGGAGGGGAGGCGGCCGTGACTGCTAGGTGGAGGTGGGCTCTCGTAAACGTCGTTTTACGGGCAGGTGGAAACCTTTATAAGCCCACAAATACTTCAAGCCTGTTCCTGCCCCTGGGGCCCTGGAGACTTCTCAGAGGACCTAACGGGACCTGGCGAAAGGCCTTCATCACCAGCCCACTAGGAACTGTTCACCGTGTGCCCGGGGCTGCGTCTGGCACGGAGGTGAACGCTGAAGCCATCCCCCCACCCCCAGATCCCCAAGACGAGAGAGCGTTCCGTGAGGTCCAAATAAACGTCCCTCCTGGCACCTTCAAGGATGTGGTTTTTCTTTTCTTTTTTTTCGAGGCAGGGTCTTGGTCTGTTGCCCAGGCTGGGGTGCAGTGGCATGATCTTGGCTCACTGCAGCCTCCAATCCTTGGGCTCAAGCGATCCTCCTGCCTCAGCCTCCCGAGTAGCTGGGACCACAGGCATGCACCACTGTGCCAGCCTCATTTTGTATTTTCTGTAGAGATAGGGTCTCCCTATGTAGCCCAGGCTGGGGTGCAGTGGCATGATCTTGGCTCACTGCAGCCTCCAATCCTTGGGCTCAAGCGATCCTCCTGCCTCAGCCTCCCGAGTAGCTGGGACCACAGGCATGCACCACTGTGCCAGCCTCATTTCGTATTTTCTGTAGAGATAGGGTCTCCCTATGTAGCCCAGGCTGGGGTGCAGTGGCATGATCTTGGCTCACTGCAGCCTCCAATCCTTGGGCTCAAGCGATCCTCCTGCCTCAGCCTCCCGAGTAGCTGGGACCACAGGCATGCACCACCGTGCCAGCCTCATTTTGTATTTTCTGTAGAGATAGGGCCTCCCTATGTTGCCCACGCTGCTCTGAAACTCTGGGCTCCAGCGATCCTCCCATCTCGGCCTCCCAAAGTGCTGGGATTACAGGTGTGCAGTACGGCTCCCAGCCCTGATGTTGGGTTTGGAGAACAAGAGGGTGATACGTCGCCAAATTCAAACTCACGTCCTCCTGCTTCTGAGCATGTAGGGAGCTGGTGGGCGGGGAGGTGGGTGTGGGGCTGCGGCTCTGGGCTCCCCGGGTGCCCACGCTGAGCTGTCCAGGAGGCTGACAGGGAGGACGTCCCTTCGGTATCCCCCTTTTGCCACAGAAGAGCCCGTGTGGACCCCTGAGTCCCGGACCACCGGGCAGCCAACGCCATCTTGGGGTCTCCGGATTGAGACCCCAAGAGAGGGTACCTGGATCTCGTGCAAGAAAGAATTCACGGCAAGTTTGCAGTGCAAAATAAAAGCAAGTTTATTTAGAAAGTAAAATGGGGCCGGGCGCGGTGTTTCACGCCTGTCATCCCAGCAGTTTGGGAGGCCAGGGCGGGTGGATCACGAGGTCAGGAGATCGAGACCAGCCTGGCCAGCACGATGAAACTCCATCTCTACTAAAAATACAAAAAATTAGCCGGACGTGGTGGTGGGCACCTGTAGTCCCAGCTACTCGGGAGACCGAGGCAGGAGGATGGCGTGAACCCGGGAGGCGGAGGTTGCAGTGAGCTGAGATCGCGCCACTGCACTCCAGCCTGGGCGACAGAGCGAGACTCTGTCTCAAAAAAAAAAAAAAAAGAAAGAAAGAATTGTCTATACGGGTACACGTGCTCTGCTACAAAGGTTCGTGATAAAGGATTAATTTTCTTAATTACTATATTTTGCAAGAATCAGTATTATAGTTATTATTTTTTGAGATGGAGTCTCGCTCTGTCGCCCAGGCTGGAGTGCGGTGGCGCGATCTCGGCTCACTGCAACCTCCACCTCCCGGGTTCAAGCCATTCTCCTGCCTCAGCCTCCTGAGTAGCTGGGACTACAGGCACCCGCCACACCCGGCTAATCGTTGTACTTTTAATAGACACGGGTTTTACCATATTGGCCAGGCTGGTCTCGAACCCCTGACTACCTGATCCGCCCGCCTCGGCCTCCCAAAGTGCTGGGATGACAGGCGTGAAACACCGCGCCCGGCCGAGAATTGGTATTATGTTTAGAGCAAACTTAGGAAAATGCCTTTGTTCTCCAGATATTAAGATACCTGGACACTCCCAAGTCTGGGGCTGTTTAGTAAATACTTTTTTTTTTTTTTTGAGATGGAGTTTCGCTCTTGTTGCCCAGGCTGGAGTGCAGTGGTGCGATCTCAGCTCACCTCAACCTCCGCCTCCCGGGTTCAAGGAATTCTCCTGCCTCAGCCTCCCGAGTAGCTGGGATGACAGGCGCCCGCCACCACGCCCGGCTAATTTTGTATTTTTTTTAGTAGAGACGGGGTTTCTCCATGTTGGTCAGGCTGGCCTCGAACTGCCAACCTCATGTGATCCACCCACCTCAGCCTTCCAACGTGCTGGGATTACAGGCGTGAGCCACCGTGCCAGTAAACATTATCAATTTCTTCCTTTTTTTTTTTTTTTCTGAGATGGAGTCTCACTCTGTCCCCAGGCTGGAGTGCAGTGGTGCCATCTCTGCTCACCGCAACCTCCACCTCCCGGGTTCAAGTGATTCTCCCGCCTCAGCCTCCTGAGCAGCTGCGATTACAGGCACCCGCCACCACGCCCGGCTAATTTTTGTGTTTTTAGTAGAGACGGGGTTTCACCGTGTTGGCCAGGCTGGTCTCGAACTCCTGACCTCGTGATCCGCCCGCCTCGGCCTCCCAGAGCGCTGGGATTCCAGGCGTGAGCCGCATTCGTTCCCTTGACCGTAAACGTCTGCAGGCGAGGAATCAGCCGTCAGTCAAGAGGGAGTCACTGCGGTTCATTCGCCTCTGACAACGGGTCCTCCCGGACGCCGCGTGGCTTGTTCTGAAGCCGGGCCGGAGACACCGTCTGGACCCCACGCTGCTCCCCAGGGCCGCCTCCAAGAGGATGCCCCACCGCAGGGAGCCGTGCAAACACCATAAATCCTGCTAATTGCCACCTTCCCGGCAGCCAGCATCCGTGGTCTCTCTATAGTGGCCTCACGGTCTCCAGCCAGGAGCTCGATCTTTGCTTCTGCACAAACATTACCGAGAAACGTCTGCAAACCCCGGGCGCCCGGCTCCCACATCACAGGCGCTGCGCCTCAGAACACAACTTGTTTCTGCCGATCCACCCCCCACCGCCGCCTCCCCGGGCACCTCGCCACGCAGGACGCTCCGGGCTTCCCGTAAGAACACCCGTGTCTGTGACCTGCGGGTGGGGTCACCTCCCCGGCCTGCATGCCAGGTGAGGCGGGGGGGGCTCACCTGGGGCTCTCACCTGCCCGAGGGGGTCCTGCCCACGGCTCTGCGACAGAATAGAATGATCAGGGCGATGCGTGGCAGTGCCCTCTCCCTGCCCCAGCCCGAGGGCACCTGTTCCCCTCCTATCTCAGCCACTCTGCCCACGTCTGTCCCCACAAAACGCGGTCGGTGCAGCCCTGGGGCCCGGTCACCGTACCGCATCCTCCTGACAAAGACAGAAAGAAACCGGCTCTTTGATTCTAACATTAAAAAAAAAAGGGCTGCCTTCTGCTTGCAAAAGAAATGCACGCAGGCTGCTGGCAGAAAGTTCTGGAAGATGATAAAGGAAAAAAATAAATTAATTCGAGAAAACTTTGAGACGCCTAACAGCACAAATACCCTCAGTCTTTAGAGAACAGCTGGGGATACACATATTCTGGCTCATTTCCCCATGGAACTTTTATTTTTATTTTTTGAGATGAGTCTCTCTGTGTCGCCGAGGCTGGAGTGCAATGGTGCGATCTCAGCTCACTGCAACCTCCGCCTCCCGGGTTCAAGCGATCCTCCTGCCTCAGCCTCCCAATAGCTGAGACGACAGGCGCCTGCCACCACGCCCGGCTAATTTTTGTATATTTACTAGAGACGGGGTTTCACCGTGTTGGCCAGGCTGGTCTCAAGCTCCTGACCCCAGGTGATCCGCCCGCCTCGGCCTCCCAGAGTGCTGGGATTATGGGTGGGAGCCACCGCGCCCGGCCCCTCTTCCTTCCTTCCCTTCCTTCCTTCCCTTCCTTCCTTCCCTTCCTTCCTTCCCTTCCTTCCTTCCCTTCCTTCCTTCCCTTCCTTCCTTCCTTCCCTCCCTTCCCTCCCTCCCTTACCTCCCTTCCCTCCCTCCTTTCCTTTCCTTCCCTTCCTTTCCTTCCTTCCTTCTTTCTTTTTCCTTTTCTTTTTGAGATGTAGTCTCACTCTGTGGCCCAGGCTGGAGTGCAGTGGTGTGATCTCGGCTCACTGCAACCTCCGCCTCCCAGGTTCAAGCGATTCTCCTGCCTCAGCCTCCTGAGTAGCTGGGACGACAGACGCCCGCCACCATGCCCGGCTAATTTTTGTGTTTTTTTAGGTAGACATGAGGTTTCACCACATCGGCCAGGCCGGTCTCAAGCTCCTGACCTCCAGTGATCCGCCCGCCTCCGCCTCCCAAAGTGCTGGGATGACAGGCGTGAGCCACCGCGCTTGTCCTGCTCTGTAAATTTTGTTTTGGGCCAGGCGTGGTGGCTCACACCTGCAGTCCCAGCACTACGGGAGGCCGAGGCACGAGGGTCGCTGGAGGCCACGAGTTTGAGTCCCCCAGCCTGGGTAACGTAACGAGACCGTGTCTTTAAAAATCATAAAAGACAGATCAGCTGGGCGTAGTGACACGGGTGCCTGTCGCCCCGGCTCCTGAAGAGGCTGAGGTGGGAGGATCGCTTTAGCCCAGGAGTTGGAGGCTGTAGCGAGCTGTGATCTCACCACCGCACTCCAGCCTGGGCGACAGAGCAAGATCTTGTCTCGAAAACAAAACAAAACAAAACACAAAAATTTAAAAAACAGATTGAGAACCCTTGGCCCCCACCTCTTACCAGCTCGGTCACAATTGCAAACCAGAGGCCGGGCACGGTGGCTCACGCCTGTCATCCCAGCGCTTCGGGAGGCCGAGGCGGGTGGATCATGAGGTCAGGAGCTCGAGAACATCCTGGCCAACATGGAGAAACCCCATCTCTACTGAAAATACAAACTTAGCCGGGCGTGGTGGCTCACGCCTGTCATCCGAGCACTTTGGGAGGCCGAGGCGGGCGGATCACGAGGTCAGGAGCTCAAAAGCAGCCTGACCAACATGGAGAAAGCCTGTCTCTACTAAAAATACCAACTTAGCCGGGCATGGTGGTGCACGCCTGTCATCCCAGCGCTTCGGGAGGCCGAGGCGGGCGGATCATGAGGTAGGGAGCTCGAGACCAGCCTGACCAACATGGAGAAACCCTGTCTCTACTAAAAATACAAAATTAGCCGGGCGTGGTGGTGGCAGGTGCCTGCAATCCCAGTTACTCAGGAGAGGCTGAGGCAGGAGAATCGCTTGAACCCGGGAGGCGGAGGTTGCAGTGAGCCGAGATCGCACCCCTGCACTCCAGGCTGGGCAACAGAGCAAAAACTCTGTCTCAAAAATAATATAATAATAATAATAATAATAATAATAATAATAAAAACAACTGTTTTCATGCTGCAGACAGCACACAGGCCAGGACGTCAGGGTCTCGTGAGGGGCCGTCGGAGAACGTCTAAGGGACGTCCCTGCATTCCTGGCTGGAGGTCCTGCGCCAGCGCCCTCCTTGTGAGAACACTTTCGCTCTGCAAACTCTCAGAGCCCCCACCTGCTCCCGCCTCCCGTCTGTCCTGGTTCTTGGGACCCCGGAGCCTTCTCTGTCCAGACCTCCCAGGTCCTGACGGGAATCCGGATAAACTCCTTGGGGCGAAGGTGTTAACGGCAGGGCCCCTGTCTAATGTATTTCGCCACCCAGATAAAATGAGTGTTTTCACAGCTGCCGTTAATTTCTTACCCTGAGGAAGAAAGGAAGGACTTTGAGGCACCTGCGGCCGGGTTGGGGTGGGGCAGGGGGATTTCTGGACGCGGACGGCGTGTGGGGAGTTCCTGGGGTCCCCAGAGCCACACCACGTAGGTGGCAGCCGGCTCCGTCCTGCAAAGCCCCGGCTTCGGTGAAAGATTTATCACCTGCTCGGCCTCGGAGACGGGGAAGAAAAACACAGCCTGGAAGTGGTCCTGGCTGATGGACGGGCCCCTGGGGAGCTGTCCCCAAATGCGCGTCTTCTTTCTCCTTTCTGTCACAGCCTCCCGGCCCTGCCCTGGCTGAGTGGGGCTTTCAGTGAACGCTTGTTGAGTGTCCACGGAGCTGTGAGTGCTGTTCCGGGTGCTGGGTACGTGGTGGGGTGTGTGAGGTTCCCTCCTCTCTAGTGCAGAGATCAGGAGTGAGTAGACAAAGAAAATAGCATCTAACTGCTGCTTGTGATGAGTTTTTTTTTTTTTTTTTTTTGAGACAGAGTCTTGCTCTTGTTACCCAGGCTGGAGAGCAATGGCGTGATCTTGGCTCACGGCAACCTCTGCTTCCGGGTTCAAGGCATCCTCCTGCCTCAGTCTCCCGAGTAGCTGGGAGTACAGGCACCTGCCACCACGCCTGGGTAATTTTGTATTTTTAGTAGAGACGGGGTTTCACCATGTTGGTCAGCCTGGTCTGGAACTCCTGACCTCAGGTGATCCATCCATCTCGGCCTCTTAAAGTGCTGGGATTACAGGCGTGAGCCGCCATGTCTGGCCTTTTTCTTTTTTTTTTTTTTTTTTTTGAGATGGTCTTGCTCTCATTGCCCAGGCTGGAGTGCAATGGTGCAATCTTGGCTCACTGCAACTTCTGCTTCCGGGTTCAAGGCATCCTCCTGCCTCAGCCTCCCGAGTAGCTGGGATTACACGTGTGCACCACCATGCCCGGCTAATTTTGTATTTTTAGTAGAGACTGGGTTTCACTATCTTAGTTAGGCTGGTCTCGAACTCCCAACCTCATGATCTGCCCGCCTCAGCCTCCCAAAGTGCTGGGATGACAGGCATGAGCCACCGCACCTGGCCTATTTTTTTTTTTTTTTTTGAGACAGAGTCTTGCTCTTACTGTGTAGGCTGGAGTACAGTGGGCGAACTCGGCTCACTGCAACCTCTGCTCCGGGGTTCAAGGCATCCTCCTGCCTCAGCCTCCCGAGTAGCTGGGATTACAGGCGCCCACCACCACTCCTGGGTAATTTTGTATTGTTAGTAGAGACTGGGTTTCACTATGTTAGTCAGGCTGGTCTCGAACTCCTGACCTCAGGTGATCCACCCACCTCGGCCTCCCAAAGTGCTGCGATGACAGGCGTGAGCCACCGTGCGTGGCCTTTTTTTTTTTTTTTTTGAGATGGAGTCTTGCTCTCATTGCCCAGGCTAGAGTGCAATGGGCGAACTCGGCTCACTGCAACCTCCACTCCCGGGTTCAAGGGATCCTCCTGCCTCAGCCTCCTGAGTAGCTGGAATGGCAGGTGCATGTCACCATGTTTGGCTAATTTTTTTTTTTTTTTTTCATAAAGACAGAGTCTTGCTAGGTTTCCCAGGCTGGTCTCAAACTCCTGGCCTCAAGTCATCCTCCCACCTCAGCCTCCCGAAGTGCTGGGATTCCAGGCGTGAGCCACCGTACCTGGCCCCTTCAGCATTTTTAAAATATCATTACCCCTTCAAAGACACCTCCAGGAGCAGCCAAAGTTGGTACCCTTGTTATTCCCCATCTCAACACCCCGTGAATTCATTTCTCCAAAAGAACTCATCACAAGCAGGCCACGTGCGGTGGCTCACACCAGTCATCCCAGCACTTTGGGAGGACAAGGCGGGTGGATCATCTGAGGTCAAGAGTTCGAGACCAGCCTGGCTAACACGGTGAAACCCCATCTCTACTAAAAATACAAAAAATTAGCCGGGCATGGTGGCGGGCACCTGTAGTCCCAGCTACTCGGGAGGCTGAGGCAGGAGAATCACTTGAACCCGGGAGGCAGAGGTTGCAGTGAGCCAAGATCGTGCCACTGCCCTCCAGCCTGGGCAACAGAGCGAGACTCCGTCTCCAAAAAAAAAAAAAAGTGCTGAAAAGAAGCAAGAAGGAGGAGCTGGCTGTGCGCAGGGAAAAGCAATGCAGGAAGAAGGATCAGCGTGTGCAAAGACTCTGAGCTGGGAAAAACCTCTGTGTATTCCGAGAACCGAGACAGGGAGGCAGGCTTAGGGTGGAGAGGAGGATGGCAAGGTGGAGGGTTGAAGGGTTTCCCAGCAGCCTGCAGGGCTGATTGGGAGCTCAGATACTCCATGACAAGGACAAAGGGAAGGGGTCTGTATGCAGCTGTGTCTCCGCTCTCTTTCTTGCTCAGAGCATGGAGACCTCGAGTCCAGCTTCCTTTGCGTGCGTAGGGGCCTCTCTGGGTGATGGAGCCCTCCCGAGTGGTAGGTTGGGAGAACCACAGAATTAACCGCACCCTCCAGAGTCTCTCCCAACCAAGGGCTGTCGACGGTGGGTGCATAAATACCTGGGAGGGGCCGGGTGCGGTGGTTCACGCCTGTCATCCCAGCACTTTGGGAGGACAAGGCGGGCGGATCACCTGAGGTCAAGAGTTCGAGACCAGCCTGGTCAACATGGTGCAACCCCCCCGCCTCTGCTAAAAATACAAAAAATTAGCTGGGTGTGGTGGCGGGCGCCTGTAATCCCAGCTAGTCGAGAGGCTGAGGCAGGAGAATCGCTTGAACCCGGGAGGCAGAGGTTGCAGTGAGCTGAGATGGCACCACTGCACTCCAGCCTGGGTGAGAGAAAGAAACTGTCTAAAATAAACAGGGAAAACACCTCTGGGGCTTATGTCTTTCCCGCCTGCATCCGATGAACCTTAGGTGACCGCTGGGGACGGTACTGAGGGTTCCAGGCAGAGGAAAGCCACATCTGCATGCAGAGAAAACTCCAGTGGGGACAGAGGGGGTGCATCGTGTTTAGAAGCCACGTGGGGGGTGGGGGGGCAGGTGTGTCTCATCGCACACGTGTGAACGGAGTGCCGGGGGCCCCTCTTCTCCTGAGCCCCCAAAGGCACGAGCCGGTGGGTCTCGGGAGTTGTGGGGCGATTCCTGGAGGTGGCTCTGTGCAAAGTGTTGTCATATCAGCCAGGAAAACACCCCCTTGCCACAGCCTCAAGTCAACCCAATCTCGTCTGAAAGGTTTGGATGGAGGTGGGGGGGTCCCTGGCTTCCGTCGCTGGAGCGGTGGCCGCAGGGCTGGTCTTCACTGTCATCGTGATGTCACCATCGTCCTCACGTTGGGTGTCTCCCTGGATTCTCGGCTCTCCAGGGAGGCGGCGACGGCCCATCCCACCAGCTGCCCACGGAGGCGGGGTCCCCGGGATGCAGGCTTGACCTCAGAGGAAAACCCACCTGAGCCATTCTAGGGGGAGGGGACACCAGGACCCCCCAAAGGCCTGGTCGGCTGAGGTCATGGTTCATCCCGGGGTTGGGGGAGGGGACACCAGGACCCCCCAAAGGCCTGGTCGGCTGAGGTCATGGTTCATCCCGGGGTTGGGGGAGGGGACACCAGGACCCCCCAAAGGCCTGGTCGGCTGAGGTCATGGTTTATCCCGGGGTTGGGGGAGGGGACACCAGGACCCCCCAAAGGCCCGGTCAGCTGAGGTCATGGTTCATCCCGGGGTTGGAGCAGAACGGGCCGTGGAGGATGGGCTCAGGGAGTGTTTGTTCATGGCGTGAATTCACACGGAATCTTCCTGCCTCCCTCCTTCCTTCCTTCTTTCCTCCCTCCCTCCGTCCTTTCGTTCCCTCCTTCCTTCCAATTTCCTCCCTCTCTCCCTCCCTGCCTTTCTTTGTGGACAGCCTGGCATCTGCACCGTGTCCTGGCTGAGCCTCCTGCCAGCTCTGCGGCCTCGTTGAGGGGGGCGGGGTGCGTGTCTCACCATCTTTGCACCTCAGCTTCCCCATCTGTGACGCAGGGACGGCAACAGGCACCCCTCGAGGTCACCCCTCCAGCATTTGTTTACAGCTGTCTCACATGAACTTAGATCCATGGAAGAGCGTCACCCTGACTCGTCAACCTGCAAAAACGGCCCAGGACAGAGAGGGGGGCCCTTGGGATGGTGGCGGCCGGGACCCGAGGCTGTTGTCCGGTCGTAGAGCCTTAGAGGCTGTTGGCGGTGTAGACGCGGGTCCCAGGCTGCAAGCTGCCTCTCTCCTCTGCCTCAGGCTCTTCTTTTCTATTTATTTATTTTTAAGACAGGGTCTCGCTCTGTCACCCAGGCTGGAGTGCAGTGGTGCCATCTCGGCTCACAGCAGCCTCCAACTCCTGGGCTCAAGCCGTCCTCCCGCCTCAGCCTCCCGAGCAGCGGAGACCACAGGCATGTGCCGGGCTAATTTTCTAATGTTTTGTAGAGATGACGTCTTTGCTACGTTGCCCAGGCTGGTGTTGAACTCCTGGGCTCAAGGCCTCCTCTCGCTCTGGTCTCCCAAAGTGCTGGGATTAGAGGTGTGAGCCACCGCGTCTGGCCAAGACGTCTTTTGGGGGGGACATAATTCTCAACCAAATTGCCTCTGTCTCTCCTTCTCACTCTCTCTCTCTCCACACACACACACACACACACACACACACACACAGCTTGTATGTATATACGCATTTATACAGGTGTGGAGGTGTTTGTGCATATATAGATATATATGATATATACGTATATTTAAGCCATTAGAACATGATTTCCATTGCTAATATTTCAGTGAATATCTCTTTTCTAGCTCTAACTCCACACACACACACAGACACACAGACACATCCCTTGTATGTATATATGCATTTATACAGGTGTGGAGGTATTTGTGCATATAGAGATATATATGATCTAGATGTATATTTAACCCATTAGAAAATGATTTTCATGCTGATAGTACTTCAGTGAATATCTCTTAAAAATATTGATCGCACACGTCCCTCATGAAAAGCAATGGTTCCCTAAACACAGACTGTCTGGTCCATCTCGGAGTTTCCACAGTCGTGACTCACATGCAAGCAATGTACAACTATGGCAGGGCTGGGCTCCTTCCCTCCCAGACAGGCTCAAGGTTATGCTCCCTGTGCCGGGATCAGAATCTGGAATCAGGACGGCCACTCCAGTGACATGAAAGGCACACGGGTGACAGGACGGACACCCCAGAGACAGGACGGACGCCCCAGAGACAGGACGGACGCCCCAGAGACAGCACGGAGACCCCAGAGACAGCACGGACACCCCCAGAGACAGGACGGACACCCCAGAGACAGGACTGATGCCCCAGAGACAGGACGGACGCCCCCAGAGACAGCACGGAGACCCCAGAGACAGGACGGACGCCCCAGAGACAGGACTGATGCCCCAGAGACAGGACGGACGCCCCCAGAGACAGCACAGAGACCCCAGAGACAGGACGGACGCCCCAGAGACAGGACGGAGACCCCAGAGACAGCACGGATGCCCCAGAGACAGGACGGAGGCCCCAGAGACAGCACGGACGCCCCAGAGACAGGACGGACGCCCCAGAGACAGGACGGACACCCCAGAGACAGCACGGACGCCCCAGAGACAGGACGGACGCCCCAGAGACAGGATGGAGGCCCCAGAGACAGCACGGACGCCCCAGAGACAGGACGGACGCCCCAGAGACAGCACGGACGCCCCAGAGACAGGACGGACGCCCCAGAGACAGGACGGGCGCCCCAGAGACAGGACGGACGCCCCAGAGACAGGACGGACACCCCAGAGACAGCACGGACGCCCCAGAGACAGGACGGCCGCCCCGGCCCCGCGTTTTCCATGACATATTTTCTCTTCGGCCACAGGATGGCAGTGCCAGCTACGGAAACGGTGGACCGTTGTCGGACCCTTTGCTGAGTTTTGAAACACGTCACTGCCTTCAGCCTTGTGGGTCCCCGGGCTGCGAACCCCGGGACCGCCTTCCCGCCTCGTGGGCCGGGGCTCAGGTCTTTACATTCATCCCAAACCGGGTTCAAGCCCCATCCCTCCCCCGGCTGCCAACCCCGTGCCGTTCAGGCCCCGTAACCGGCTACTTCGGAACTGACGTCGTGAAACCTTTGCTCGACTGTGTTTCTGACGCTCCCGTCACAGAACAGAAGCTGTCGGGAGTGAGCAATGGTCTAGCCCAGGAGAGGAAAATCAGCCGCGTTTCACTTTGCACCGTCATCTCCTCAGCCGCCCCGTTCCCTCCCACACTTGCAAGATTCCGAGGGAGGAAGCCGCTTCTCGGACCCGGGTCCCAAGCTGTGCAGAAAAGGCCAAGGACACATTTCCGTGTCTGTAGACGCAGCAGGCGGCCGCCAGGGCCTCTTGGGCAAAAGACTCCCATTCCCGGCTTTGCCTGCAGACACCCCTCCTCACACGGGCTCTGGAGGTCTGTTGGGGTTTTCCTCAAAAAGTTTATTTTTTTTGTGGTTTGCTTTTCTAGACAGGGTCTCATTCTGTCATCCGGGGGCTGGAGCACGGCGGGAATGATCTCGGCTCAGAGCAGCCTCCGGCTACTGTGGCCTCAAGTGATCCTCCCGCCTCAGCCTCCCGAGTAGCCGGGACCAGAGGCACCTGCCACCACGCCCAACTCATTTTTTTGTATTTTTTTGTATTTTTTGTAGAGACGGGGTTTCTCCATGTTGCCTGGGCTGGTCTTGAACTCCTGGGATCAAGCCGTCCAGCACCTCAGCCTCCCAACGTGCCGGGATGACGGGTGTGAGCCACCGCACCGGGCCTATTTTATTTTATTATTTCTTTTGTAGAAATTGTTTAAGTGGCTACAAAAGTCCACAAACATCCTCCCTGAGATTCTCCCTTAGAATAATCGTCTTCGTGGGCACACAGCATGTGCTGCTGCTGACCTGAGTGGCCTCGGCTCGACGTCTAGACGGCTCAGCGTTTGGACAGTTTCCAATCAGGGTCTGTCACCCAGGCTGGAGTCTGGGTGTGATCTCGGCTCACTGCAGCCTGTTTCCTCCCTCCCTTCCTTTCCTCCCTCCTTCCTTTCCTCCGTCCCTCCTTTCCTCCCTCCTTCCTTTCCTCCCTCCCTGCCTCTCTTCCTTCCTTTCTTCCTGGACAGCCTGGCATCTGCACCGTGTCCTGGCTGAGCCTCCTGCCAGCTCTGTGGCCTCGTTGAGGGGGGCGTGTCTCACCATCTTTGCACCCCAGTTTCCCCATCTGTGAGGCAGGGACGGAAACAGGCACCCCTCGAGGTCACCCCTCCAGCATTTGTTTACAGCTGTCTCACATGAACTTAGATCCATGGAAAAGCGTCACCCTGACTCGTCGAGCTGCAAAAACGGCCCAGGACAGAGAGGGGGGCCCTTGGGATGGTGGCGGCCGGGACCCGAGGCTGTTGTCCAGTCATAGAACCTCAGAGCCTGTTCAAATCAGGGTCTCGCTCTGTCACCCAGGCTGGAGTCTGGGTGTGATGTCGGCTCACCGCAGCCTCCACCTCCTGGGCTCGAGCGATTCTCCTGCCTCAGCCTCCGGAGGAGCTGGGACCACAGGTGCCCGCCACCACGCTGGGCCGATTTTTACAGTTTTTGTAGAGATGGGGCCTCACTGTGTTGTCCAGGCTGGTCTTGAACTGTTAACCTCAAGCGATCCTCCTGCCTCGGCCATCCAGGGTCCTGCAATGATGGGCGTGAGCCACTGTGCCTGGCCTATTTTTTATTGCTGAGGGTTTTGCAGAAATCATGTAAGAAGTGGCCGGACGCAGTGACTCACGCCTGTCATCCCAGCACTCTGGGAGGCCGAGGCGGGTGGATCACCAGAAGTCAGGAGTTCGAGACCAGCCTGGGCAACATGGCGAAACCCCGTCTCTACTAAAATACGAAAGAAATTGGCTGGGAGTGGTGGCAGGTGCCTGTAGTTCCAGCTACTCAGGAGGTTGAGGCAGGAGAATTGCTTGAACCTGGGAGGTGGAGGTTGCAGTGAGCTGAGATCGCACCATTGCACTCCAGCCTGGGCAACGAGAGTGAAACTCCATCTCAAAAAAAGAAAAAAAGGCTGGACACAGTGGCTCACGCCTGTCATCCCAGCACTTTGGGAGGCTGAGGCGGACAGATTGCCTGAGCTCAGGAGTTCGAGACCAGCCTGGCCAACATGTTGAAACCCCGTCTCTACTAAAATACAAAAGAAATTAGCTGGGAGTGGTGGCAGGTGCCTGTAATCCCAGCTACTCAGGAGGCTGAGGCAGGAGAATTGCTTGAACCTGGGACACGGAGGTTGCAGTGAGACGAGATTGCCCCATCGCACTCCAGCCTGCAACAGAGCGAGACTCCTTAACAAGGGAGGCTATTCTGACACCTGCTACCATGTGGAAGAAGCTTGACAATATTGACCAATCAGCCAGACACAGAAAGACAAGTCCTGTGTGATTCCACTTCGAGGAGGTCCCTCGAGTCACCAGAGTCACAGAGACAGAAAGTATAACGGTGGGTGCCGGGGGCTGAGGAGGGCGAATGGAGCTGTCGTTGAAGGGGGGGGTCGCAGTTTCGGGTTTAGAAGTGGAATTTTGGAGACAAATCACGGGGATGGTTGCAGAAAAGTGTGAGCGTGCTTGTTACCCCGGAACTGTGCACATAAAGATGTCTCACCTGTTGGCCGGGCGCGGTGGCTCACGCCTGTCATCCCAGCACTTGGGGAGGCCGAGGTGGGTGGATCACTTGAGGTCAGGAGATCAAGACCAGCCTGGCTAACATGGTGAAACCCCGTCTCTACTAAAAATACAAGAAAAAAATTAGCCGGGTGTGGTGGCGGGCACCTGTAGTCCCAGCTGCTCGGGAGGCTGAGGCAGGAGAATGGCATGAACCCGGGAGGCGGAGGTTGCAGTGAGCTGAGATCGCACCACTGCACTCCAGCCTGGGCGACAGAGCGAGACTCCATCTCAAACAAACAAAAAAGGGCTCGTGTGTATGAGGCTGGGGACGCAGGAGAGGGTCTCTCCCCCTGAAACTCGGGGGGTCCTGGGAAAGAATCCAGCCTCCAGCCTGGCCCTGGGAACCCTGGACCAGGCAGGGGGTCACTGCCCCCTTCCTGGGGAGTCTCAGCTGAAAATAGCTCATCTCACAGGGGACCCGCACGGCTGACGTCCAGGACGAGCCCGAGACTCCTCAAGAAAAGCCTCGTGTTAAACACACGTGTGTCTCCTCGCCTGCCGGTTTAATGCCCAGTCGTGGGGTCCTGGGTTGTGGCCACGAAGTCCTATTCCTCTGTCGCCAGGGTGAGAAGGTGGCTGTCGGCAGGGATTTTGGGATCAGGCAGGTGACTTCTCACGAAGGCTGGTTTCTCAGCCTCACATCTGCCGACATCGGGGGCTGGAGGATTCTCCGTCGTGGGGCGTCCTGTGCCCTGTGGGGTGTCGGGGACATGTTCTCACTCGGAGGACACATTGATTCAAACCATAGGATACACAGTTGATTCATACATGTATGATTGATAGGTGATTGGTTGACAGATAGTTGATGGATAGATATTGATATAGATGCATGATTAATAGGTGATTGACAGATGATAGACATTAATATAAATGTATGATTGATTGGTTGACAGATGATAGATAATTGATATAGATGCATGATTAATAGGTGATTGACAGATAATTGATAGGCATTAATATAAATGTATGATTGATAGATGATTGGTTGACAGATAATTGATATAGACACATGATTAATAGGTGATTGACAGATAATTGATAGACATTAATAGAAATGTATGATTGATGATTGGTTGACAGATGATTGATAATTGATATAGATGCATGATTAATAGATGGTTGATAATTGACAGATAATTGGTATAGATGCATGATTGATAGATGATTTATTGACAGACAATTGATACATAAGCGATACAGATGCATGATTGATAGGGAATTGATTGACAGATGATTGATAATTTATATAGATGTATGACTGATCAGTGATTGGTTGATAGGTAATTGATATAGATGCATGATTGACAGATGATTGGTTGTCAGATAATTGACCGATAGTAATGGATAGCTGATTAATAGATAGATAATTGATTAATCAATAATTGATAGATGATAGATAAAGAATCTCTCATGCCCAGGCAGCTTTCTCAGCTCTGGCACTGCTGATGTTTGGGACTGGAGGACTCTCTGTCTTGGGGCCACCCTGGGTGCTGCAGGGTGCTAACTCTCTTGATGAGGCCGTCCTGGGTACTGTAGGGTACTGAGTCTCTGTGATGAAGCCGTCCTGGGCTCTGTAGGGTGTTGAGTCTGAGTCTCTGTGATGAGGCCGTCCTGGGCCCTGTAGGATGCTGAGTCTCTGTGATGAGGCCGTCCTGGACACTGTAGGGTGCTGAGTCTGAGTCTCTGTGATGAGGCCGTCCTGGGCCCTGTAGGGTGTTAAGTCTCTGTGATGAGGCCGTCCTGGACACTGTAGGGTGCTGAGTCTCTGTGATGAGGCCGTCCTGGGCACTGTAGGGTGTTGAGTCTGAGTCTCTGTGATGAGGCCGTCCTGGGCCCTGTAGGGTGTTGAGTGTCTGTGATGAGGCCGTCCTGGGAGCTGTAGGGTGTTGACTCTGTGGTGGGGCCGTCCTGGGCGCTGTAGGGTGCTGAGTCTCTGTGATGAGACCGTCCTGGGAGCTGTAGGGTGTTGACTCTGTGGTGGGGCCATCCTGGGCGCTGTAGGGTGCTGAGTCTCTGTGATGAGACCGTCCTGGGAGCTGTAGGGTGTTGACTCTGTGGTGGGGCCGTCCTGGGCGCTGTAGGGTGCTGAGTCTCTGTGATGAGGCCGTCCTGGGAGCTGTAGGGTGTTGACTCTGTGGTGGGGCCGTCCTGGGCGCTGTAGGGTGTTGAGTCTCTGTGATGAGGCCGTCCTGGGAGCTGTAGGGTGTTGACTCTGTGGTGGGGCCGTCCTGGGCGCTGTAGGGTGCTGAGGAGCGTCCCTGGGCTCCACCCAGCAGATGCCAGTTCACCCCCATGTTGTGACATGCAGACATGTCCCCTGATATTGCTGAGTGTGTCCGGGGAGGGGGCAGGATGTCCCCTGGCTGAGAACCACACTGCACTAAGGAATTAAGAGGACGGCCGCACTTAGAGACACAGTTGCCCATGAGCTCATACCGGCTTCTCCAAGCAGGTCACTCTGAAATCTTGTTTTTTTTTTGTTTTTTTTTTTTTTTTTTTTTTTTTTTGAGACAAAGTCGTGCTCTTGTCGCCCAGGCTGGAGTGCGGTGGTGCCATCTCGGCTCACTGCAAGCTCCGCCTCCCGAGTTCACACCATTCTCCTGCCTCAGCCTCCCGAGTAGCTGGGACTACAGGTGCCCGCCACCACGCCCGGATACTTTTTTGTATTTTTAGTAGAGACCGGGTTTCACCGTGTTAGCCAGGATGGTCTCGATCTCCTGACCTCGTGATCCGCCTGCCTCGGCCTCCCAAAGTGCTGGGATGACAGGCGTCAGCCACTGCGCCCGGCCCAACAGCTCTTTAAGTGGCTTGATTATGACCCTTGCACGCTGGCACCTGTCTTTGGGATCTTGGCATGGGCATGGACCCATGGATTAGTCAAACACCAACAGGGGCTCAGAAGGAAGGAGAGAATCTATATGGGAGGCTGGCACCTGGCAAGGGATGATCCCTTCATTGCTGCAAAGGCAATGAAGAAGGAAGAAGGAGGCAATGAACAAAGGAAGAAAGGAAGGGAGGAGTGATGGAACGAAGGAAGGAAGGGGAAGGAGGGAGGGAAGGACGAAAGGAAGGAAGGAGGGAGGGAAGGAAGGAAGGAAGGAAGCTTCCATTCTTCCATTGTAGCAGCAGCGTACACTGCCCAGCCCGGGCTTCGTTTCCACTTTCTGTGACCTGGTGTGGCGGTGAGTCTTACTCAGCGTGCTTGAGCCGAAATGTCACCAGCTGCCCGCCGACCTGGGATGACACCTTGGGCCGTTCTGTTTTCTCCCGTTCACCGGTCAAGACGCTGAAACTCGGGAGCTTTTGGCGGCCGAGCTGCGTGAAGGGACTTCAAGAGACGAGGAGACGGACCCCGTGGAAACCTCTCCCACCTGGCGATTGGTGAGGAGGACAGAGGCGACGGCAGAGGCGGTTTCATTTTGTGCTTTGAGACGGCCGTTTTGAGGTTGGGAGGCAGCCGCGATGGGAGTTGGGTTTGTCAATGGCATTTTTTTTTTTTTACTTTTTTATTATTATACTTTAAGTTCGAGGGTACATGTGCACAAAGCGCAGGTTAGTTACATACGTATACATGTGCCATGCTGGTGTGCTGCACCCATTAACTCGTCATTTACATTGGGTATGTCTCCTAATGCTGTCCCTCCCCTCTCCCCCAGGAAACAACAGGTGCTGGAGAGGATGTGGAGAAGTAGGAACACTTTTACACTGTTGGTGGGACTGTCAACTAGTTCAACCATTGTGGAAGTCAGTGTGGCGATTCCTCAGGGATCTAGAACTAGAAATACCATTTGACCCAGCCATCCCATTGCTGGGTATATACCCAAAGGACTATAAATCATGCTGCTATAAAGACACATGCACACGTATGTTTATTGCGGCACTGTCCACAATAGCAAAGACTTGGAACCAACCCAAATGTCCAACAACGATAGACTGGATGAAGAAAATGTGGCACATATACACCATGGAATACTATGCAGCCATGAAAAAGGATGAGTTCATGTCCTTTGTAGGGACGTGGATGGAATTGGAAATCATCATTCTCAGTAAACTATCGCAAGGACTAAAAACCAAACATATTCTCACTCATAGGTGGGAATTGAACCATGAGAACACTTGGACACAGGAAGGGGAACATCACACACCGGGGACTGTTGTGGGGTGGGGGGAAGGGGGAGGAATAGCGTTAGGAGATATACCTAATGCTACACCAACATGGCACATGTATACGTATGTAACAAACCTGCACATTGTCCACATGTACCCTAAAACTTAAAGTATAATAATAATAATAATAATAATAATAATAATAGTAATAATAAGCTGACCAGGATTTCCCCTCAGAAGGGCCCTTTCCCTGAGGGTCTTCGCTCCCCGAGGCGGACCCTACAGTGATCCGTGTGGGGGTTCCTGGGGCGGCGGTCGTCCCCTCCCGGGGGGTCTCCTGGCACCGATCTCACCTGCGGGAGCCTCTCCGGCCTGGCTCTTTGATGTGCAGAGATGGCGAAGAAGAAAATAACTTTAAAAATGGTGAGAAGCCGTCATTGAAGTTAACATAAAAGAGGATGACGCGGGGTGTTAATTGGTCTGTCTCTGGCATAATTTGGGCCCGGGAGACGGGGTCCCTGGGCCCCTCGCCCGAGAGCGGAGACTCACATCTTTAATTCAGCAATCTTTGTATTAATTACCTCCGCATAGGTACGCTTTGATTGGGAGCGCTTTCTTATAAAATCACAGCGATCGTCTGCCTTAAGATAAATAGATGAGAGTTGAGCTGGGGGAAGAAAAAAAAAAAAAAACAGTTCATTCGACTCTGAATATCAAATTCAGGATAAAACACCACTGATTCTCGGTCATTCTCAGTAGGGGAAGGAGCTTCTATTCTTGACCCAGCCCACGACACGTGCCGGGGCTGTCAGCGCCGTGAGAGGCACCTGTGTCTCCCCGAGCTGAGGACGGATGACATTTGTACCTACAGGTTTGTATACGGTCCTGGGAGGTGCCTCCTTGCCAGTGAAGGACCAGAACTCACGGCCGGCCATGGGTGCCCGGCGCCGGGATGGGCAGGAGCGGTGGCCCCAGGTCCCGGGTGTGGGTGAGGCCCCAGGAAAGAGGAGAATTCACTGGGAAAATGCAGAGCTGAGGGAAAAGACAGGGGTGTCCCGGGGACCCGTCCAGACCGCAGGATGGTGTGAGGCCGGGAGGTGGACGCGGCGGTGAGCTGTGATTGCGCCACTGCACTCCAGCCTGGGTGACAGGGCAACACCCTGTCTCTCTCTCTCTCTCTCTCTCTCTTTTTTGTTTTTGGAGATAGAGTCTCGCTCTGTCACCCAGGCTGGAGTGCAGGGGCGTGATCTCGGCTCTCTGCAACCTCCGCCTCCCGGGTTCAAGCCATTCTCCTGCTTCAGCCTCCCGAGTAGCTGGGATGACAGGCACCTGCCAGCACGCCCGGCTGATTTTGTATTTTTAGTAGAGATGGGGTTTCACCATGTTGGTCAGGCTGGTCTCGAACTCATGAGCTCAGGGGATCCGCCTGCCTCAGCCTCCCAGAGTGCTGGGATGACAGGTGTGAGCCACTGCGCCCGGCCAGGAATCAGTTTTTATTACGCTCAAAATCCCCTAAAAACTAGGCACCAGGGGAGGATGAACTGGCTCAGAGAGAAAGAGAGAGAGACACAGAGACAGAGACAAAGAGAGAGGCAGAGAGACAGAGACAAAGAGAAAGAGAGATAGAGAGAGAGAAAGAGAGACAGACGCAGAGAGACAAAGAGAGATGGAGAGACAGAGAAAGAGACACAGAGAGAGGCAGAGACAGAGAAAGAAAGAGAGGCAGAGACAGACGGAGAGATACAAAGATGGAGAGACAGAGAGAGACAGAGAGGGACAGAGAGATACAGATACAGAGAGAGACGTAGAGACACAGAGAGAGACAAAGACGGAGAGACAGAGAGAGACAGAGAGATACACACAGAGAGACAGAGACAGAGACAGCAGACGGAGAGAGAGAGAGATGGAGATGGAGAGAGACAGAGACACAGAGAGAGACAGACACAGAGAGAGACAGAGAGACAAAGATGGAGAGACAGAGACAGAGAGACAGAGACACACAGAGAGACAGAGACAGAGAGACACAGAGAGAGACAGACAGAGAGATGGAGAGACAGAGAGACACAGAGAGAGGCAGAGACAGAGACAGAAAGACAGAGAGGCAGAGACAGAGGGAGAGATACAAAGATGGAGAGACAGAGAGAGACAGAGAGGGACAGAGAGATACAGATACAGAGAGACGTAGAGACACAGAGAGAGACAAAGACAGAGAGACAGAGAGAGACAGAGAGATACACACAGAGAGACAGAGACACAGAGACAGCAGACGGAGAGAGACAGATGGAGATGGAGAGAGACAGAGACACAGAGAGAGACAGAGACACAGAGAGAGACAGAGAGACAAAGATGGAGAGACAGAGACAGAGAGACAGATACACACAGAGAGACAGAGACAGACACAGAGAGAGACAGACAGAGAGATGGAGAGACAGAGAGACACAGAGAGAGGCAGAGACAGAGAAACAGAGAGACAGAGAGACAGAGACACAGACAGAGACAGAGACAGGGAAGGAAGGAAGGGAGGGAGGGAAGGAGGAAATGAAACCAAAGAAAGGAAAGAAAAACCCCCAAGAGTCACAATCAATATACGTCCTGCACAAATTCCTGCAGTTTCCAGGAGGTTCCCGCAGCTCCCCGGGGCCCGCCACCCCCCGCCACCCCCCACCCACTCCCAGAGCCGCCTCCTTCAACACCCCGACGTGCTTCATCTACCACGAGGCCCACGGCGGCTTCCGGAATATGCGGCAACTTTTTATTTTTTTTTTATTTTTATTTTTTTTAAGGGGTAAAAAAAGATAAAGCAAACACGGAACAGCACACTCCTCCCGGCCTTCCTTCTTCTGACACCGTTTTCCTTTAGAAGATCTGAAACTACAAGTCAGGACATGACACGTGGAGCGTCCCAGGCACGCGCAGCCTCTGCTGTTTGATTTCCGACGTGAGTCTATAGGTGAGGCTGACAGGTTTCAGATGGAAGAGGCAGGGCAGACGCCTTTCAAGAGAGGCGCGTTGTCTGGGTAAATCCATCAAGGGTGCGTCCTGGGAGACGACGGGCCGCCTTTGTAGACAACGCCACGGCACGGGGGCCCCCCACGCTGGGCGCCCACCCCGGCTGGCTGACAGGCGGCCCCCGTTTCACCGTGATCACGAGTAAAAGCCAGTTCCCTGCAGGTTACGGGGCTGCTGTGTTTTGACATTGACCTTAATGCATAATTTAACCACAAAGCATATGAGGTACGTGCAACCAGATGAGGAAAGGCCACAGGACTGGCAGGTAACGTGATGCTGAATCAGAAAGGATGTTTGTTCCCGATCGTGCGGACGTGGGGGCCTCTGCCGAAGAGGCGGAGAGGGGAGGAGGGGGAGGAGGAGGCCGCGGTCGTGTCTGTCCCAGGGCTGTCGAGGAGAAGTCGGTCTGGGGTCCTGGATGAGGAGCAGAGCTCGGGGAGCTGTTAACATTTCCTGGGACAGCGATGGGCTTGGAGAGCCTCACTGTGCACACATGTGGCCTGTTTTTTTTATTTTTATTTTTAGTTTTTGAGATGGAGTCTCGCTCTGTTGCCCAGGCTGGAGTGCAGGGGTGTGATCTCGGCTCACTGCAACCTCCACCTCCCGGGTTCAAGCCATTCTCCTGCCTCAGCCTCCCGAGTAGCTGGGACTACAGGCGCCCGCCGCCACGCCCAGCTAATTTTTTGTATTTTTAGTAGAGACGGGGTTTCACCATGTTGGCCAGGCTGGTCTCGAACTCCTGACCTCCGGATCAGCCCGCCTCGGCCTCCCAAAGTGCTGGGATGACAGGCGTGAGCCACCGCGCCCGGCTATGTGGCCTGTTTGCTGGGACGGAGCCGCTGGCATCCTGGCGGCAGCTTCAAAACACAGTCACAGTCTCAGGGGAGCAAAAGCACCCGGTCCCCATCACTGTCCCCAAGAAAGGGAGCAGCAGGGGGTTCCCGCGGCTGGCCAGGAAGCTGGGGACAAACGGTGGCGTACCTGAGCACCTGCATTCCCGCAGTGAAGGACAGGTCGACACGGGCAGCTTTGCTTCTCTCCTGGCCAGCTCGGTCAAGCTTCCTGCCTCTGGTGCCTGGAATGCAGAGTCCTGGGTGCGCAACAGGCATTGCCTGGGTGGGCTGGCGTTTTTGATTTGTTTTGTTTTTTTGAGACAGAGTCTCACTCTGTTGCCCAGGCTGGAGTGCAGTGGCGTGATCTCAGCTCACTGCAACCTCCGCCTCCTGGATCCAAGTCATTCTCCTGCCTCAGCCTCCCGAATAGCTGGGATTACAAGCACCTGCCACCGCACCGGGCTAATTTTGTATTTGTAGTAGAGACGGGGTTTCACCGTGTTGGCCAGGCTGGTCTCGAACTCCTGACCTCAGGTGATCCACCCACCTCGGCCTCCCAAAGTGCTGGGAGGGTTGGTGTTTTTATGACCTTCACACAGACCCCAGAGCTGGTGTTGGAGGAGGGTGCAGAGACCCCAGGAGGTACCCTGGAAAGGAGCCCAATAGGAAGACCCAGGACTCTAGGGCAGCAGGTTCAAGCCTGCTCAGCTGGGAAGACCGTTTCCTTCAGGAGTGTGGCGGGTTCCACACGGCGGGTTGGAGACATGCACCTGCCCAGGCTGGGCCACTCAGGGTTCACGCCGGGGCACTGAGTATTTTGGGGGTGCAATGAACTCTGCACAACGCACCAGGGTGGGGGCAGAGATGAATCAAAGAAGACAGCTGTTTGTGTGTGAGCTTCCCTGGCCTGTGCACACAGAGACAGACATACACACCCACACACACACAGGCACACAGATGCCTGTACACATACATTCACACCCAGACACACATATGCATTCGTACGCACCTACACACACATCTGTACACACACATTCACACCAACACACAGACATACATTCATACACACCTGCACACACACACACGTACACACACTCCTATACACATACATTCACACCCACACACAGACATACGCACCCACACACACATTCATACACACCTGCACCACACACAGGCGCACACACTCCTGTACACACACATTCACAACCCCACACGTACACACCAGGACACACACATTCATATACACCTGAACACAGGTGCACACACACGCCTGTACACATCCATTCACACCCACACACAGACATACACACCTGTACACACACATTCATACACGCACACACACACGGGTACACACGCCTGTACACGTTCACACCCACAGACATATACACAGACACACCTGCACACACACACACAGAGGCACATGCACACACACACCTGTACACATACATTCACATGCACACACAGACACAGCCCCCCACACACACAGGTGCACACACACGCCTGTACACATACATTCACACCTACACACAGACACACACCTGTACACACACATTCATACACACATGCACACACACACGGGTACACACGCCTGTACACGTTCACACCCACAGACATATACAGACACACCTGCACACACACACACAGAGGCACATGCACACACACACCTGTACACATACATTCACATGCACACACAGACACACCCCCCACACACAGGTGCACACACATGCCTGTACACATACATTCACACCTACACACAGACATACACACCTGTACACACACACACACAGACACACCCCCCCCACACAGGTGCACATACACGCCTGTACACATACATTCACACCTACACACAGACATACACATCTGTACACACACACATTCATACACACACAGATACACACCCACGCACACACAGGTGCACACACACGCTTGTACACATACATTCACACCCACACACAGACATATACACACAGACATTCATACACACCTGCACAGACACACACATACACAGGCCCATGCACGCACACCTGTACACACACACACCCACACACAGACATACACATCTGCGTGGCAAACATTGACCCCTTCCTCAGGCTGCTGCTGCTGCTGCAAATGTTACTCAGCGATCGTCCAGCCCAGGCTGCAGGCCGACCCTGAGGGCCCTGGAGGCCTCATAAACCACACGTCCGGCCTCGGCTGATTCCACAAGGCTCCGTGGAGCTACCTGTGCAGGGGGGAGAGGCGTGAGGCTCAAAGGGGCCCTGGACGCAGGGACAGACGTTTCTTTACAGACACCCACGTGAGGCAGACAAACCACACATATGTCTCCAACCACACATGGTAATTCGTGAGGATGAAGAGATGAAGGCCCCAGGCCATATTCCCTTTGTGCTGTCCTGGTCTAGCGTGAAATGTTAATTTTTGCCTTTTTTCGTGTACAAAGGGGCCCTTAGGTTGTTAGATGTTCCTGCTTTCATAGTAGACGCATGTGGACTTTTCGTGGTATTTTGTTGTGTTTCTACTGCTTGTTGGAGGCAGAAAAAGCGACTCGTCAATGTTTTATAATGAAAATGAAAAGTATGAAAGGTGAGTGTGAAGTTGTAACAGACATACTTTTGTGAATTTTGGTGATTTTTTTTGTTTGTTGGTTTCAGTCTTTGGAAAAAATCTGTGGTTGGCCGGGCGCGGTGGCTCACGCCTGGCATCCCAGCACTTTGGGAGGCCGAGGTGAGTGGATCATGAGGTCAGGAGATCGAGACCATCTTGGCCAACGTGGTAAAACTCCATCTCTACTAAGAATACAAAAAATTAGCGGGGTATGGTGGCGGGCACCTGTAGTCCCACCTACTTGGGAGGCTGAGGCAGGAGAATCGCTTGAACCTGGGAGGTGGAGCCTCCCCAGATGCACGGCTGTGTCCCAGTCCAGGTTCCAAAGGGGCTTTGTGGATCTTTTTCTGCAGACCGAATGAATGCTTTGTCCTGCCAAGTCCTACGTTGAAACCCTGAACCCCAAGGTCAGAGTGTTACTAGTGGGGGGTCTTTGGGAGGTGAGGAGGTCGTGATGGTAGAGTCTCACGAATGGGATTAGTATCCCCATAAAAGGGACACCAGAGCTTCCTCTCTCTCTGTCTCTCTCTCTGTCTCTTTCTCTCCACCCCGCACCATGGAATGACACAGCAAGAAGGTTGCCGTCTGCAAGCCAGGAAGGGAGTCCTCACCAGGAGCTGAGATGTTGCTACTTTGATCTTGGACCTCCAGTCTTCATGTGTGTGAGAAATCAATGTCTGTTGTTTAAGCCCTGTGGTTTGTGGTACTTTGCTGTAGATTTTCTTTCTTTCTTTCTTTCTTTTTGAGACTGAGTCTCACTCTGTCGCCCAGGCTGGAGTGCAGTGGTGTGATCTTGGCTCACTGCAACCTCTGCCTTCTGGGTTCAAGTGATTCTCCTGCCTCAGCCTCCTGAGTAGCTGGGACTACAGGCACCTGCCACCACACCTGGCTGATTTTTATATTTTTAGTAGAGACGGGGTTTCACCATGTTGGCCAGGATGGTCTCAATCTCCTGACCTCGTGATCCACCCGCGTCAACCTGCCCAAGTGCTGGGATTATAGGCATGAGCCACCGTGCCCGGCAATTCTATCTATCTGTCTGTCTGTCTGTCTGTCTGTCTGTTTGTCTGTCTATCTATCTATCTGTCTATCCATCCATCCATCTAATCCATCCATCCATCTATCATCTATCTATCCATCTATCTTTTGGGTTTTTTTTGAGACAGAGGAGCTGAAACATAGTGAGAGGTTTCTATACCCAGAGAGCTCAACCTCTAGGGTGGAGAAGTTTAAACATTCACTAAACTGGCTTTCATTTAGTAATTGGTGCAGAGCAAAGAGAGACATTTGTGTATGTGTGTGTGTGTGTTTTCACATCACAATATATCATTCTCTTCTCTTCATTTTGTCTCATTTTTCAGAAGCAACAAAAAGGAGAAGATAAGTTTATTTCCATGCAGAGAAGGGAGAGTTTGCTTTCCATTTTATTTTATTTTATTTTTCAGATAGAGTTTCACCCTTGTCGCTCAGGCTGGCGTGCAATGGCGCAATCTCGGCTCACTGCAACCTCCACCTCTGGGGTTCAAGCGATTCTCCTGCCTCAGTCTCCCAAGTAGCTGGGATTACAGACACCCGCCACCACACCACACTGCAACCTCTGCCTTCTGGGTTCAAGTGATTCTCCTGCCTCAGCCTCCTGAATAGCTGGGACTACAGGTGTCTGCCACCACACCCGGCTGATTTTTGTATTTTTAGTAGAGACGGGTTTTTACCATGTTGGCCAGGCTGGTCTTGAACCCCTGACCTCAGGTGATCCTCCCGCCTTGGCCTCCCAAAATGCTGAGATGACAGGCATGAGCCACCATGCTCGGCTGAGTTTGCTTTCTTTGGAGAGCAAACAGATAGCCCCACCAGAAATGTACTTATTTACTTAGTTGCTTGCATGTTTGGAGTGGATGTTGGAGTTTTTCTCAGCCAGGGAGGTGAGAAAGTCTCCATCAAGTACTCATTCATTCATTCATTCATTCGTTCATTCAATTCAACTTTGAATTTAAAAGTGGAGAGTTCCCCTCCGTCTGACCACAAAGTGATGTGCAGAAGTAGCTTCATTTTAAACCTGCAGATAAGATGGATCGGTCTCTGATTTGTAATTAGAAGTGCAGCAGATAACGAGACAATCTGAATGTCCTACCAAGTCTTTGACCTGTTCTTTGGGAGGTGGCATAACCTTATCTTCAATCATCAAGGCTGCACGTGGAGGAGTTATTCAGGCAGCTGAAAATATCACCCCAGATCTTGCAGAGGAAGCAACCTAGGAGTCGGAGTGTCCCTGCAGATGCTCCACACACGGGTGGGATATAGAAGGAGTGGAGGTGGACGAGGTCTAAGGAGAACAAGGAAAAGGACATGAGAGGATCAGAGAAGACCTCAATAGCTTAGCCAGGGAAGGAATTCATGGGAAAAACATTAGGGGAATTTATAGTCTTGGCAGGGAACCCAAAGATGGAGACTCAGACAACAGGGCAGAACCCAAGGGAGGAAGGTGGTCGGGGAGGACTCTCCAAGCTGCCTCTGGGCTCTGGAGATGTTGCTGTGGTCATGAGGAATTTCTGTCCTGCAGCTGATTTCCTTTATTCTCTCAAGGTTCCAAGTGCTGGGCAGAAAGTCCAGCTCCCTGGATGCCAGGATGGGGGGGATAGAGAATGTATGAGGCTCCAGGATGCCAAAGAGGGAGGTGACGCTGGTTCCCACTGAGACGTGTGAGGCAGGAATGACCCCAAAATGACAAGGCTCCGAGTCCCAGCACGATGATTCAGCTTCCCCATCTCACGTGTTCATGGAAGGAGCATGAGGAACTCAGGCATCAGGAAGAAAGTGCCCTCGGTTTGGGGTGGGGCGAGCTTTGGGAACCTCAGGAAACATTTCACGATGACCAACAGGATCAGCCAGTGGGAGAGGAAGAGGAGATTTGTTGCAACCTTGAGGTGGGTTCACTGTGGACACAAATCAGAGGCAGGACAGCCACAGAGAGGACCAACTATTGGCCACGTGTGGGTAAGAGGAAAGAATTGTGACTGGGTTCACAGTGCAGGGGGCATGGATTGAAAAGCAGGACACATCTTCCTCTCTTCTGGTTTCATTGAGCCTTTGCTAAATAGAAGCTAGAATCTCATAGACCTGGTGGCAGCTGTCTTACTCCCTTGGTGTTGATATGGCAGAATGCCATAGACTGCATGGCTTAGAAACAATAAGAATTTACTGCTCACAGCTCTAGAGGCTGGGAAGTCTCAGATCAACGCGTGGTAGATTTGGTGTTTGGTGGGGAAAGTCCCAGATCAAGGCGTGGTAGATTTTGTGTTTGATGGGGACCTGTTTGCTCATTCATAGACGGTGCCATCAGGCTGTGTCCTCATATGGTGAAAGGGGTGAGGGAGCTCTCTGAGGTCCCCCCTTTTTTTGAGATGGAGTTATGCTCTTGTACCCCAGGCTGGAGTGCGATGGCACGATCTTGGCTCGCTGCAACCTCTGCCTCCTGGGTTCAACTGACTCTCCCGCCTCAGCCTCCCAAGTAGCTGGGATTATAGGTGTCCACCACCAAGCCTGGCTAATTCTTGTATTTTTAGTACATATGGGGTTTCACCATGTTGGCCAAGCTGGTCTCGAACTCCTGACCTCAGGTGATCCTCCTGCCTTGGCCTCCCAAAATGCTGGGATTACAGGCATGAGCCACCGTGCCTGGCCTGGGGTCCCCCACTCCTTTTTTTTTTTTTTTTCCTTTTTTAGATGGAATTTTGCTCTGTTGCCAGGCTGGAGTGCAGTGGTGCGATCTCAGCTCACTGCAACCTCTGCCACCCGCATTCAAGGGATTCTCCTGCCTCAGCCTCCCAAGTAGCTGGGATTACAGGTGTCCACCACCACGCCTGGCTAATTTTTGTATTTTTAGGAGAGACAGGGTTTCACCATTGTTGGCCAGGCTGGTCTCGATCTCTTGACTTTGTGATCTGCCAGCCTCGGCCTCCCAAAGTGCTGGGATTACAGGCCTGGGGTCTGTAATTTTTATAAAGGCACTAATCCCATTCATGAGGCTTCATCCTCACAATCTCATCACCTTCCAAAACTCTACTTCCTAACACCATCACCTTAGCGGTTAGGGATTCAACATAGCAATTTGTCGGGGGAACACGACATTCAGTGTATACTGACCGTTGTTCTTCAAACACCTGCTAAATTATAATTAATATCATTATGGGAGAACACCCTTACCATAGAATATTCCCACCACCAGGATCTCCGTGATATACCTTCCAACTCTGCAAAATAACAAAACAGCAAAACAACACAACGCAAACGGAATAAAACCCTTTTCTTTTGACTGAGTGCAGGGCAAGTTAGAAAACTCCCCAAAGATGAGTTTCTCCTCCTTTTTTTTTTTTTTTTTTTGAGTTATGAGCAGAAAAAGTTTGGACACTTTCGCAGAACTCAGAAACATATTAATTTTTCACGGCCTCGTAAGTCAAAAATGGCTTGTCCAATTTGCTTCAAACTTCGCAGCCTGATAGAAAGCCCCAGAACTTTCCAGCCAGAGAAGATATTTTGTCAGAGTTGGAAGGAGGTCAGAAGAGGGCATTAATGTGGAGGATGTGAAGACCTGGGCCCCGACCCTTGATGGGCCTATCTGTAATTAGCTGGAGCCCTCCCCCGGATTTGGGGTTGACAGACGCTCAGGACAGCACGATGATCTCAAGGGCGTCAAAGGGCAAAGCTTCCCCATCAATGGCTCTGTTTGGAGAGGGAGTAGCTGGGGGAGTCAGGGACTCAGCGTGGGGCTCACACCCTCTTTTACCGAGCACTTCTGATTTATATTATAAAAATCTCATTTTCAGAAAAGAAGGGAGTTTTACATGGGATAGGGTGGTGTGAAATCAGCAAATCAGCAAAAAGAAAACAAAACAAAAACGCTTTTCAGGAAAACGATGATGGATTTGGGTGGGGAGAGGGCAGAGCTCCTGGGACCTGATTACTGTTAATTTGTAATCCAGGGAGGTCCTGAGCCTGGTGAAATATTAATGCTTGAGAAAGGCCACTGTCTTCTGATTCTTTCTGTGCTTTTGGGACAATCCCAATGGATGCAACACACCCCCGCGTTGATTTATTTATGTTCACAGCATGGCCGAGGCAGCAGGAGACCCCAAGTTGTATTCAAAATATCCAAAAGGGGCTTTTCTTTTTCCCTTTGTTTATTCAAAATATTCAAAAAGGGCTTTTCTTTTTCCCTTTGTTTCCGCGATTTCTGCGCTGTTGGCTGAAAGTGCTCTGAGTTCACGCGCTACGGGGGGTGACTTCCATTTCTGCAGACAGCAGCCTTGGGGATGGCCTGGCGAGGGCTAGGAATACCACACCCTGATCCCATTCTTCCTGGCTCAGTCCTGACTGTGAGAGTCACGGTGGACTCTGGGTTTTTCGGTTTTTTTGTTTGTTTGTTTTTTTGTTTTTTGTTTTTTTTTTTTGACAGGGAGTCTCGCTCTGTCGTCCAGGCTGGAGTGCAGTGGTGCACCCTAGGCTCACTGCAACCTCCGACTCCTGGGTTCGATTCTACTGCCTCAGCCTCCCGAGTAGCTGAGACTACAGGCACCGGCCACCACGCCTGGCTAATTTTTTTTATTTTTTAAATAGAGATGTGGTTTTGCCGTGTTGGCCAGGCTGGTCTCGATCTCCTGATCTCAGGTGATCCACCTGCCTCGGCCTCCTAAAGTGCTGGGATTATAGGCGTGAGACACCATGCCTGGCCTCTGAACTCTGTTTTAAGTTTTTTTTTTTTTTTAATTGAGGTGAGTTTCACGAAACATGCAATCAACCATTTTATTTTTATTACTTATGTATTTATTTTGAGACAGGGTCTCGCTCTGCTGCCCAGGCTAGGGTGCACTGGTGCAATCACAGCTCACTGCAGCCTCAATGTCCTGGGCTCAGGTGATCCTCCTGCCTCAGCCTCCTGAGTAGGTGAGACCGTGGGCATGCCCCACCATGCCTGGCTAATTTTTGTATTATTACTATTTTCTTGGTAGAGACAGGGTCTCACTGTGTTGCCCAGGCCCATCTTGTACTCCTGGTCTCAAGCGATCCTCCTGCCTCGGCCTCCCAAAGTGCTGCAATTACACAGGTGAGGCAACGCAGCCAGCAACCCTTTCAAGCAGAAGGATTTGTTGGTATTTACTGAATTCACCTTGTTGTGGTAGCATATCATCTACATAATACCAGAATATTGTCATCCCTCAAAAACAGAGCCAGGAGAAGAACTGCCCATTTTCCCTCCCCATTCCCAGGCAACTCAAAATCTTCCTTCTGTCTCTATGGGTTTGCCTGTTCTACACATTTCGTATATGATGGGAATAGGCTTTTTTTTTTTTTTTTTTTTTTTTAGAAAGAGTCTCGCTCTGTCAGCCAGCCTGGAGTGCAACGGTGTAATCTCGGCTCAGTGCAACCTCCACCTCCTGGGTTCAAGCGATTCTCCTGCCTCAGCCTCCTGAGTAGCTGGGATTACGGGCACCCCCCACCACACTCAGCTAATTTTCTTTTCTTTTTTCTTTCTTTCTTTCTTTTTTTTGAGATGGAGTCTCGCTCTGTTGCCCAGGCTGGAGTGCAGTGGCACGATCTCAGCTCACTGCAATCTCCGCCTCCTGAGGTCAAGTGATTCTCCTGCCTCAGCCTCCCAAGTAGCTGAGATTACAGGTGCCCACCATGCCAGGCTAATTTTCTTTTTTTGAGATGGAGTCTTGCTCTGTCGCCCAGGCTGGAGTGCAATGGTGAGATCTCGGCTCACTGCAACCTCCACCTCCTGGGTTTAAGTGATTCTCCTGCCTCAGCCTCCTGAGTAGCTGAGATTACAGGTGCCCACCATGCCAGACTAATTTTCTTTTTTCTTTTTTCTTTTTTTTTTTTTTTGAGATGGAGTCTTGCTCTGTCGCCCAGGCTGGAGTGCAGTGGTGTGATCTCAGCTCACTGCAACCTCTGCCTCCTGGGTTTAAGTGATTCTCCTGCCTCTGCCTCCTGAGTAGCTGGGATTACAGGTGCCCGCCACCATGCCCAGCTAATTTTCTTTCTGGTTTTTTTTTTTTTTTTTTTTTTGAGACAGAATCTTACTCTGTTGCACAGGCTGGAGTGCAATGGCATAATCTTGGCTCAGTGCAACCTCTGCCTCCTGGGTTCAAGCGATTCTGCTGCCTTAGCCTCCTGAATAGCTGGGATGACAGGCACCCATCACCACGCTCAGCTAATTTTTGTGTTTTTAGTAGAGATGGGGTTTCTCCATGTTGGCCAGGCTGGTCTCGAACTCCTGACCTCAGGTGATCCACCCGCCTCAGCCTCCCAAAGTGCTGGGATTACAGGTGTGAGCCACTGCTCCTGGCCAAAAAATTATTTTTTATAGACCTGGGGTTTTGCTATGTTGCTCCGGGTGCTCTCCAATTGCTGGGCTCAAGCAATCCTTCCACCTCAGCCTCCCAAAGTGCTGGGATTACAGGCACGAACCGTAGCACCCGACCGGCCTCTTTATACTATTTTGCAGGAACATTACCTTGCTTTCAGTGAGTGCAGTTCCCACGAAAAAGCCGCGAGTATGGAGAAGTTTGCCTAGAAAACTTAGGCAGTTACTCCTTTTAGATAATTTAACTTCAAAGTCGAAACAGGGCATCGCAGAAAGGATCTGAATTTAGAGGTATGTTTTATTGAATCACTCAAGGCCTAGAAATAGAAATGATCAAAGGGTGTTTGCGAGCGTGCTTTCCAGCTTCTGAGGAGCTGAGCCCAGCTCACTAATGATGGCAATTGTGGTCATAGGTGACTCGCCCCCGAGCTGGGGGTGCCTCTGAGCGCCTCTGCCTTCCACCCTACTGGGGAGCAAGGCTGTGGGGCCACCTCTAATGATTGGTTGTTATTGTCTGAGGATATCTAGAAATTCAAGAGAGATCTACTTTATACTCTGGAAATGAAGAGCCTTTTGTATTCAGCAAAGGGATCGGTGTTGAGAGGGGGCTTCACGGGTGTACACCGTGGGGAGTATCCCTCCTGGGTTCCAAGCTCAGACAGGTGGCCCAAGACAAGATGTCTGGCTTTTTAAATTTTAATTTAATTTAATTTAATTTTAATTTAATTTTAATTTAATTTTAATTTAATTTAATTTTAATTTAATTTAATTTTAATTTTAATTTTAATTTTAATTAATTAATTAATTTATTTTCGAGACAGAGTCTCTCTCTGTCGCCCAGGCTGGAGTGCAGTGGCGCAATCTCGGCTCACTGCAAGCTCCGCCTCCCGGGTTCACGCCATTCTCCTGCCTCGGCCTCCAGAGTAGCTGGGACTACAGGCGCCCGCCACCACGCCCGGCTAATTTTTTGTATTTTTAGTAGTAGAGACGGGGTTTCACCGTGTTGGCCAGGATGGTCTCGATCTCCTGACCTTGTGATCCACCCACCTCGGCCTCCCAAAGTGCTGGGATGACAGGTGTGAGCCGCCACGCCCGGCCCGTTATTTTTATTTTTAGTACAGATGAGGCTTTTCTCTGTTGCCCAGGCTGAAGTGCAGTGACGTGATCAGGGTCCTTGCATTTTTTGTTTTGAGACAGGGTCTTGCTCTGTCGCTCAGGATGGACTGCAGGGATGTGATCCCAGCTCACTGCAGCCTCAGCCTCCTGGGCTCAAGCCATACTCCTGCCTCAGCCTCCTGAGTAGCTGGACTACAGGTGTGTGCCAGTATGCCTGGCTGTTTTTTTCTAAATGATTTTTTTTGGTAGAGATGGGGTCTCACTATGTCTCCCAGGCTGAAGCTCTGTGGTGTGATCATAGCTCACTGCAGCCTCGAACTCCTGAGCTCAACTGATCCTCCCACCTCAGCCTCCTGAAGTGCTGGGATTAGGGGGGTGAGCCACTGCACTCAGCCAACAGATAGAGATGGGGTCTCGCTATGTCTCCCAGGCTGAAGCTCTGTGGTGTCATCATAGCTCACTGTAGCCTCGAACTCCTGGGCTCAACTGATCCTCCCACCTCAGCCTCCTGAAGTGCTGGGGTTAGGGGGGTGAGCCACTGCACTCAGCCAACAGATAGAGATGGGGTCTCGCTATGTCTCCCAGGCTGAAGCTCTGTGGTGTCATCATAGCTCACTGTAGCCTCGAACTCCTGGGCTCAACTGATCCTCCCGCCTCAGCCTCCTGAAGTGCTGGGATTAGGGGGGTGAGCCACTGCACTCAGCCAACAGATAGAGATGGGGTCTCGCTATGTCTCCCAGGCTGAAGCTCTGTGGTGTCATCATAGCTCACTGCAGCCTCGAACTCCTGAGCTCAACTGATCCTCCCACCTCAGCCTCCTGAAGTGCTGGGATTAGGGGGGTGAGCCACTGCACTCAGCCAACAGATAGAGATGGGGTCTCGCTATGTCTCCCAGGCTGAAGCTCTGTGGTGTCATCATAGCTCACTGCAGCCTCGAACTCCTGGGCTCAACTGATCCTCCCGCCTCAGACTCCTGAAGTGCTGGGATTAGGGGGGTGAGCCACTGCACTCAGCCAACACATCTGTAAATATGCCTAAGGCATCTATACCGTAGTAGGTTTGCTACAAGGATCAAGCAAGATAGTGTTCTGGAAATACAAGCCTCACCCTTACGAAGCTGTTTCAGCAGGTGTAACAAATGGCCGTTCACAGAGTGGCTCAAAAAAACACACATTTGGCCAGGCGTGGTGGCTCATGCCTGTAATCCTACCACTTTGGGAGGCTGAGGTCGGAGGATTGCTTGAGACCAGAAGTTTGAGACTATAGCCTGAGCAACAGAGTGACGTAGTGATACTTTGTTTCTAGAAAAATAAAAAAAAAAATAATTAGCCGGGTGTAGATGGGGGGGGGGGGTGGTCTGTAGTCCCAGCTACTCGGGAGGCTGAGGCAGGAGGATCCTTTGAGCCCGGGAGTCCGAGGCCGTACTGAGCTAGGATTGCACCACTGCACTCCAGCCTGGGCGACAGGGCGAGACTCTGTCTCAAAACAGAAAACAACAAGAACAAGAAGCCCCCCGAAAAAACAAGAAGTCCTGCCCACTCTTTTTTTTTGAGACAGTTTTCCTCTTGTTGCCCAGGGTGGAGTGCAATGGCGTGATCTCGGCTCACTGCATTTTCTGCCTCCCGGGTTCAAGAGATTCTCCTGCCTCAGCCTCCTGAGTAGCTGGGAGTACAGGCACCTGCCACCACGCCTGGCTAATTTTGCATTTTTAGTAGAGATGGGGTTTCACCATGTTGGCCAGGCTGGTCTCGAACTCCTGACCTCATGTGATCCACCTGCCTCGGCCTCCCAAAGTGCTGGGATGACAGGCGTGAGCCACCCTGTCTGTCCCCTTTCCTTTATCTTTTACAACTCCAGGACTTTAGCATAAGCCTACAAGTCCTCCCCCTTCTTTTAAGATTTTTTTCCTCTTCGATTTCACTCAGCTGAGAGAAAGGGGAGACCTCCCCCCCTCCCTTTTCACCAAACACCTACTCATTTTCCCAAGCTGTACCCACCATACTCACAGCAAATTTCATTTAGGATAGACATTTTATTTTATTTATTTTTTTTTTCATTTTTTTGAGACAGAGTCTCGCTGTGTCGCCCAGGCTGGAGTACAGTGGCACGATCTCGGCTCACTACAACCTCCGCCTCCCGAGTTCAAGTGATTCTCCTGCCTCAGCCTCCGGAGTAGCTGGGATGACAGGTGCACGTCAACCTCAGCCCACAAGGTGGCCCAAGGCACACGGAGTTCACATTGTACCCACCATGGGTCGAAGGTGGGCGTCTGATTCCTCCTGAAGGGTGGGGAGCTGTGATGTGAACAGGCCACTTCAATGGGACAGGCGTGATCTCCATTTGGGACTAAATACAAGCCCATGGAGGGTCCACAGAGCACCAAGGGAAGCTGGCATTTCAAAACATCTGCCTCGTTTGTCTAAACCACACCACACCACACACCACTCTGGGGTCTGTTTGGCCACAGAGAATCCTCTAGCCCCAAATGTCAGCAGAGCTGAGGCTGAGAGACACTGACTGAGGGACTCTATCTATCATCTGTCAATCAATCAATCAATCATCTATCTGTCTATCCATTATCTATCTATTTATCCACCTATCATCTATCTATCTATCATCTATCTCTCTCTCATCCGTCCATCCATCGTCTATTCTATCTGTCATCTATGTATCTATCCATCTAGTCATCCATCTATCTATCCTGTGTGTATTTATCCATTCTATGTATCTATCTATGTATCTATCTATGTATCTATCTATGTATCTATCTATCTATCTATCTATCTATCTATCTATCTATCTGTCATCTATGTATCTATCCATCTATTCATCCATCTATCCTGTATGTATTTGTCCATCCATCCATCCATCTATTCTATCATCTATCTTCATCTATGTATCTATCCATCTATTCATCCATCTATCCTGCATGTATTTATCTATCCATCATCCATCTATTCTATCATCTATCATCTATGTATCTATCCATCTATTCATCCATCTATCCTGCATGTATTTATCTATCCATCCATCCATCTATTCTATCATCTATCTATCATCTATGTATCTATCCACCTATTCATCCATCTATCTTGTATGTATTCATCCATCCATCCATCTATTCTATTATCTATCTATCATCTATTCATCCATCTATCTATCCTGCATGTATTTATCTATCCATCCATCCATCCATCTATTCTATCATCTATCTGTCTTCTATGTATCTATCCATCTATTCATCCATCTTGTATGTATTTATCCATCCATGCATCTACTCAACCATCCCTCCTCTATTTATCATCTCTATCATCTGTAAGTCAATCAGTTTATCCATCATCTATCAATCACCCACATCTATCTTTATTATCTATCACCTGTCTATTTATCTATCTATCCTGTATGTATTTATCCATCCATCCATCCCTCCATCCATCCATTCCCTGTCTATCTCTATCATATAGAGAAAAATGGCAGCCGCGTCCACACTGGCCTCAGAACTCTCTGGTGAGGTTGCACCAATGAAGCAACAGATTGTGAGGATGTCACTTTTCTGGTTTTTTTTTTTTCAAGATGGAATCTCACTCTGTCACCCAGGCTGGAGTGCAGTGGCACGATCTCAGCTCACTGCAACCTCCACCTCCTGGGTTCAAGTGATTCTCCTGCCTCCGCCTCTTGAGGAGCTGGGACTACAGGTGCTCACCACCACGCCTGGCTAATTTTTGTATTTTTAGTAGAGATGGGGTCTCACCGTGTTGGCCAGGCTGGTCTTGAACTAGTGACCACAGGTGATCTGTCTGCCTCGGCCTCCCAAAGTGCTGGGATTACAGGCATGAGCCACCGTGCCCAGTGACGTCACTTTTCTTTGAATAGTTTAGATCAAACCGCACCAACTGTATGTGACTTTGTTATATCTTTTATTATATGTATAACAGAAATACATAGTTATATGTGTTGTATTTGGAAGTGTATCACTGAATGTGGTTCTGAGGACCTTGGGGAATTATTTAATTTAATTTAATTAATTTATTGTAGAGATGGGGTGTCATGAGGTTGCTCAGACTGATCTCAAACTTCTGGGCTCAAGGGATCCTCCCTCCCTTCTCGGCCTCCTAAAGTGCTGGGATTACAAGTGGGAGCCACTGTGCCTGGCAGGGGGATTATTTTAAATGCTTCCTAAGCAAAATAAATAATGCATGAGACACTTACTGCATCTGCTCCTCAAATTCCTTCCAAAAGTGCTTTGGGGCCGGGTGCAGTGGCTCACGCCTGCAATCCCAGCACTTTGGGAGGCTGAGGTGGGAGGATCGCTGGAGCCAGGAGTTTGAGACCAGTCTGGGCAACATAGCAAGACCCCAGCTCTATAAAAAAAATATCTTGGGAGGCCGAGGCGGGCAGATCATGAGGTCAGGAGATCGAGACCATCCTGGCTGACACGGTGAAACCCCGTCTCTACTAAAAATACAAAAAATTAGCTGGGCGCGGTGGCGGGCGCCTGTAGTCCCAGCTACTCGGGAGGCTGAGGCAGGAGAGTGGCGTGAACCCGGGAGGCAGAGCTTGCAGTGAGCCGAGATCACGCCACTGCACTCCAGCCTGGGCGACAGAGTGAGACTCTGTCTCAAAAAAAAAAAAAAAAAAATCAGGTAGATGTGGTGGTTTCCACCTGTAGTCCCAGCTCCTGGGGAGACTAAGGTGGGAGCATTCCTTGAGCCCAGGACGTCGAGGCTGCAGTGAGCCAAGATCGTACCACAGCTCTCCAGTCTGGGCAATAGAGTTAGCTTCTCATCTCTGCAAAAATAAAGATTAAAAAAAATACTCTCATTGTTCAACTCCCACTTAGGAGTAAGAACTTGCGGTGTTTGGTTTTCTGTTCCTGTGTGAGTTTGCTGAGAATGATGGTTTCCAGCTTCGTCCATGTCCCTGCAAATGACAGGAGCTCACCCTTTTTCATGGCTGCATAGTATTCCATGGTGTCTGTGTGCCACATTTTCTTTATCCAGTCTATCATTGATGGGCATTTGGGTTGGTCCCAAGTCTTTTGCTATTCCCAGCAGGTTTTCAAAGCCCGTCGTCTTTGCTTAGCGTGCACCATGATGTCGGCTCTCTGAATTCACCGTCTTTCTAGATGAGTCCCAGAGTTTTTCTTCATCACTCAGTATTTGGCAACAGGGAAGTTTTTCTAAGCAAGTCAACCCATCAATGATAGACTGGATAAAGAAAATGTGGCACATAGACACCATGGAATACTATGCAGCCATCAAAAAGGATGAGTTCATGTCGTTCGCAGGGACATGGATGAATCTGGAATCCATCATTCTCAGCAAACTCACACAGGAACAGAAAACCAAACACTGCATGTTCTCACTCCTAAGTGGGAGTTGAACAATGAGAACACATGGACACAGGAAGGGGAACATCACACACCCGGGCCTGTCGAGGGCTGTGGGGCTGTGGAAGGGATTGCATTAGGAGAAATTCTCACCATCTATGAACCCCTCATTTCCTCATCGGGAAAAATGTACCTGAAAATAGCGCCTGCCTCTGAGTGTTGTGGTAAGGAAGCAATGCCATTATTTATGTCTCATGCTGTGGCTTGAGACTGTGTCTGTTTATGCTGCTCTGGTTTGTGGTGGAGGCTGCCGTCTGTCAGCCTCTGCACCTGCCGTCTGTCAGCCTCTGCACCTGCTCTGAAGTTTTCCTCTCGGTGGTACCCACCCATCATCCTGCTGCCCTTGAGTTCCCAGGAGCCCACAGGAGCTGCACTTTCTCCAGGCCTTTTGCCGGTGGAGCTGCCTCTTGGATTGTGCGTCTCCATCCGATGCACTCTGTTTTCATGTGAAAATCCATGGGAATAAAAAGGCTCTTTTCGTGCTGAAAAATTGAGCCCAGGGGTTCAGCCAGCAGAGGACTCTGTGGGTATAAATATGAATGGAGAGGATTCTAAATATATAGCAGAGCAGAAGTCAGATGTTTGTGGAGAGGTGAAACGGCCTGGCCAGGTTCTTGGAACTTTAGAAATGAGGATGGCTTCCGGGGGAACTGGGGAGCGACCGTTCTCAACTGGGGATGAACATGCACCCCGACGGACACTCGGCACTGTCTGGGGCGGTTCTGGGTGTGGTAACTGGGAGGGGGGTGCTCCTGGCACCTGGTTTGTGGAGCCCGGGGATGCTGCTCACCACCTTACAGTGACCACAGAGAATCCTCCAGCCCCAAATGTCAGCAGAGGTGAGGCTGAGAGACACTATCTGAGGGACTCTATCATCTGTCAATCAATCAATCAATCTCTCAATCTATTATGCATCTATCTATCTATCTATCTATCTATCTACCCACCTATCATCTATCATTTATCTATGTATCTATGTATCTATGTATCTATCTACCTATCATCTATCTATCATCTATCTATGTATCTATCTATGTATCTATTATCTATCTATCCACCTATCATCTATCTATAATCTCTCTCTCTCCCAACCATCCATCTATCCATCCATCCATCCATCTATCCATCTATCCATTATCTATCATACATCTATCTATTCATCCATCCATCATCTATCATCTCTATCATCTATAAATCAATTTATCCATCATCTGTCATTCATCCATCCATCACCCATCTTTATTATCTATCATCTATCTATCCATCTATCATTCATCTATCATCTACCCATCCATTACCTATCTATCTCTATCATATATAAATCAATCAATCTATCATCTATCATCCACCAATCTACCTATTTATCTAGATCTGCCTATCTACCTTTATCTATTATCTATCATCAATCTTTATTATCTATCTATCATCTATCTACAGATCTATTTATTGACCCATTATCTATCTATCATCTATCTACCTATCTATCTAATCTGTGCTTTTCAGCTGCTGCCGATTGTCTCCTCTGAGGACACTTTGTCAGTCTCTGGGGACACTTTTGGTTGTCTGGATTGTGGAGTGAGGGTGCTTCTGGTCGCTGGTGGGTGAAGCCCAGGGACACTGCTCAACACCCTACAGTGCACAGATCAGCCCCACCAGAGAGAATCGTCCAGTCCCATGTGTCGGAAGTACCAGGGCTGAAAGACACTGCCTGAGGCTGAGACAATCTCTGTTTGTCTATCTATCACCTATCAGTGATCTATCAGTCAATTATCTACCTATTAACTGTCTATATCAATTATCTGTCATACCTATCAATCAGCTATCATTAATCATCTGTCTATATCAATTATCCATCATACCTATCAATCAACTATCTATCATCAATCATCTATCTATACTAATTATCCATCATACATATCAATCAACTAACAATCATCAATCATCAAGCATCTATATCAATTATCCATCAAACCTATCAATCATATATCATCAATCATCTATCTGTGTGAATTATCCATCATACCTATCAATCAGCTATCAATCGTCAATCATATATCAATTATCCATCATACCTATCAATCAACCATCTATCAATCATCAATCTATATCAATTATCTGTCATACCTATCAATCATCAATCATCTATCTATATCAATTATCCATCATACTTATCAATCAACCATCTATCTATATGAATTATCCATCATATCTATCAATCAACTACCTATCATCAATCTATATCAATTATCCGTCACACCTTTCGATCAGCTATCTATCAATCATCAATCATCTATATCAATTATCCATCAAACCTATCAATCAACTATTTGTCAATTATCAATCATCTATATCAATTATGCATCATACCTATCAACTATCATCAATCATCTATCTATATGAATTATCCATCATACCTATCAATCAACTACCTATCAATCTATATCAATTATCCATCACACCTATCAATCAACTATTTATCAATTATCATCTATATCAATTATGCATCATACCTATCAACTATCATCAATCATCTATCTATATCAATTATCCATCATACCTATCAATCAGCTATCAATCATCAATCCTTGATCTATATCATTTATGCATCAATCATCAATCATCTGTATCAATTATCAATCATCTATTTACCTATCAAATCAACTATGTATCATCTTTCATCATATCTATCAATTGTCCATCAGTCAGTTATCTACCTGTCTATTCAATGGTTTGCAAACAGGATGATTTTCTTTTTCTGAGAAGAGGTCTCAAAACTTTGTTTTGGGCTGGGCACGGTGGCTCACACCTGTAATCCCAGCACTGTGGGAGGCCAAGGCGGACCGATCACCTGAGGTCTGGAGTTCGAGGCCAGCCTGGCCAACATGGTGAAACCCCGTCTCTACTAAAAATACAAAAACTAGCTGGGCGTGGTGGCGGGTGCCTGTAATCCCAGCTACTCGGGAGGCTGAGGCAGGATAGTTGCTTGAACCTGGGAGGCGGAGGTTGCAGTGAGCCGAGATTTTGCACTCCAGCCTGGGCAACAAGTGTGAAAATTCGTCTCAAAAATTAAAAATAAAAAATAAAATCTTCATTTTGTCCTGAGTTGAAACTGAAGGGCCGGCATCGTGCTTCCCAAAGATGTCCTGTTTTATGCTGGAGGTGGCAGTTTCTTGTATTTGCAGATATGTGTGAAAAACCAGACCTTGGCAATGACTTTGACAATAGGCGGTAAATAACTGCCAGATGCTTAGCGTTCCAATAATGGAATGCTAGGCATCGATAGGTTTAAGCCCCCTATGATTTTAGCACTGATATGGAAGTACGGGATTCCTTCATGGAGAAAATAAGACACTGGTTTTGCTTTCTGTTTTCTTTTCTTTCTTTTTTTTTTTTGAGAAGGAGTCTTGCTCTTGTACCCCCAGGCTGGAGTGCAATGGTACTATCTCGGCTCACTGCAACCTCCGCCTCCCAGGTTCAAGTGATTCTCATGCCTCAACCTCCAAAGTAGCTGGGGTTACAGGTGCACGCCATATCTGTGCACCATGCTGGCCAGGCTGGTCTCGAACTCCTGACCGCAGGTTACCTGCCCGAGCCACCACGCCTGGCCGCAAACACCGCATTTCAAATATACTGAGTCCTTCAGCTCGGAGGTCAGAAATGGCCAAGGGCGGCCGGGCCGGTGGCTCACGCCTGCAATCCTGCAATCCTAGCATTTTGAGAGGCCAAGGTGGGAGGATTGCTTGACGCCAAGGAGTTTAAGACCAGCCTGGGCAACATAGCAAGACCCCGATTTCTACACAAAATAAAAAAAAAATTAGTCAGGCGTGGTGGCTCACGTCTGTAGTCCCAGACACTGGGAAGTCCGAGGAGGGAGGATCGCCTGAGTCCAGGCGTCCGAGGCTGCAGTGAGCCATGATTGAGCTACTGCACTCCAGCCTGGGCAACAGAGCCAGACCCTGTCTTAAAAATAAAATAATAATTCAAAAAATAGGCCAGGCGCGTTGGCTCATGCCTGTAATCCCAGGACTTTGGGAGGCAGAGGTGGGCAGATCACCTGAGGTCGGGAGTTCAAGACCAGCCTGGCTAACACGGTGAACCCCCGTCTCTACTAAAAATACTAAAATCAGCTGGGCGTGGTGGCAGGTGCCTGTAATCCCAGCTACTCGGGAGGCTGAGGCAGGAGAATGGCTTGAACCCGGGAGGCGGAGGTTTCAGTGAGCCGAGACTGCGCCATTGCACCCCAGCCTGGGCAGCAAGAGCGAAACTCCGTCTCAAGAAAAGAAAAGAAAAAAAATGCTCAGGTACATTTTTGCTTTATTTCAGGATTTCTTTACGTTGCTGTGAAAACCTGGATGTTGGGGGCTCTGTCTGTGTATCGTAGACGGAGTTTTGAATTGCTCCAGTGAAACACAAGTATTTTACCTTACGCTGTCAACCTGCTGGGGGAAGCGTGAAGACAGTTTAACCTTCTGGCTCCGGTAATCATCTTGTCTCAGAGACCTCGGAGAGCTCCCAGAGCCTGGCTGCCACGGTGGTTCTATATACCCTCCAGCCCTGGCCTGCCTTGGGACACCCCTCTCCGCCTGCCGGCCCCAGAATTTCCCCACACACGCGGTCATCACAGCCCGAGATGTTTAATGACGGCTTCATGCACCAGGCTATTGCCCTAAACACGGGTGACAGGCCAAACACACACTAATTACCTAACTCAATTCAAGCCCGCCTGGCCCCGTGGAAAGGCTGAGCTGGGGATGCACGCAGGTGCCCCGTCGTTACCTCCGGATGTCAAATTGAAGTGAGGTTTTCCCGCATGAGCGGGGAGAGCTGTTTCTACGCACCAAGATTTCCACGGTTTGCAGGAGAAAGAGTTTTGTGTCTGCCCTCTGGACAGCCCTGTCAGTTTTATCAAGCGTGTCTGATTAAGGAATATTTAAAGGTATGTGTTCAGAAGCGTTTCTCCCCTTCTTTTGTGTGTGTGTGTGGCCATGTTTAAAAAAAACAAATGTAAAACCAGTTACAGGCAAAGTAGGCTAGTTTGGTGCTGAAATAACGCCGTCGTTCATGAGCCGGCTTAAATAATGCAGTTGTTAGAAACCAGCTCTCAAAGCTGTGGGTTGGCTGAGGAGGGTTAGTACGAGGTCCTGACCCCAAACCTGTGTGTATCTGGAGCCGGCGGGAGACATTTGGCCTGGAGTATGAGGCTGGCTGGACCTGGAAGGTCCTCAGCGTTAGAGGGACTGTTTCGGGAAGGTTTTCTGGCAGCTGAGTCCCAATTCCAGGAGGAAGTAGGCATTGAGTAGATAATTTCAGCTCCCCCATTGAAGCCGTCCAGCCTGCAGAGAAAGATAGCAGTGGCCCCCTGCCCTATCCCGGCAAAGCTGACCCCGAGAATGCCCGGGTCACAAGCCCAGGTGGACAGTGTCTCCTTGTGCCTCGGAAGAGAATTCTGCATTAGGAAGGAATCCAGGGGGAATGGGGAGAAAAGGCCCGAGATACGTGAGCAGAGGTGAGAGCCGTGCCAGGGCTGAGCCACGCTTCAGGAGAGACCAGCTATGTCTCTCTCTGTGTTGGGAGCCGTTGGGTAAAGCGGGGACTTCTGGGTGAGCCAACATTACAGACTTATATGGGAATTTAAGGCTCGGTTAAATATGCCCCTCAAAAAAGTTTCCTGACTTTTTTTTGATACGCCAGTTTCATTATCAGGGGGCTCATCAGCCGGGGACGCGGTGCAGGACGGATGGAAGCCGTGGGCCGTGTCAACTCTACAGGGCTGTATTTCTTTTTTTTTTTCGTGCTCATTACGATTCTTGGATGTGTGTAATTTACATCTAAATGCACTGACTAATTTTGATCCAATCATGTCAAAAATGATAGGTACTGTGTGGGAGGAGATGACAGCCGTACCAGCGCGCGTTGCCAGAGTGAGAGTCCCTCGGGGCAATGATTTAATGCCCCCAGTCAGCCGGGCCTGTCAGCTTCGGAGGCCAAATTATGACACATCATGTCGACGACCGGTCCACACGGAGGCTGCGGTGGGGGGAGCCCTGGTTCACCCAGCACCGTCCTGGCCGACCCCCGGCCCCGGCTGCCGCCCCGTGCCCCGTCACACACGCAAGATGCAGAGTGGGGAGAAATGATGCGCTAACCCCCCTGTAAAAGAGTCATTTGCATCTGTATTTTTTACTCCAGCAAGGGCATGTCAGGTGTTTGCGGGAAGGGCAGGCTGGACGGCCTCCATGCAGCGTGAGCGTGTCCGCGTGTGTGTGTGCACGTGTGTCCACATGTGTGTGTGGTGTCTGCGTGCCTCTGTGTGTGTCCGTGTGTGCGCACGCGCCCGTGTGTGTGCATCTGTGTGTGGCGTCAGCATGTGTCTATGTGTGTCCATGTGTGTATGTATGTGTGCATGCATGCACCTGTATGTGTGTCTGTGTGCATGCATGTGAGTGTATGTGTGTGTGTCTGAGTGTGAGCGTGCCTATGCACGTGTGTGTGTGCATGTTTCTGTGTGTGCATACGCCCATGTGTGTCTGTGTGCATGCGTGTGTGTGTATGTTAGTGTGAGGGTGGACGTGTGCCTATGCACCTATGTGTGTATGTGTTTCTGCATGTCTGTGCATGCATGCACCTGTATGCGTGTCTGAGTGCATGCGTGGGAGTGTATGTGCGTGTCTCAGTGTGGGCATGCCTATGCACATATGTGTGCACATGTTTCTGTGTGCATATGCTTGCATGTGTGTGTGCATGCATGTGAGTGGATGTGTGTGTGAGTGTGGGCATGCCTATGCACGTGTGTGTGTGCATGTTTCTGTGTGTCTGTATACGCCTGTGTCTTGAGTGTGTGAATGTGCCTATGGACATGTGTATACATGTTTCTGCATGTCTGTGCATGCATATGCCTGTGTGTCTCTGTGTGCATGCGTGTGAGTGTGTGTGTATGTTAGTGTGAGGGTGGACGTGTGCCTATGCACCTATGTGTGTATGTGTTTCTGCATGTCTGTGCATGCATGCACCTGTATGCGTGTCTGAGTGCATGCGTGGGAGTGTATGTGCGTGTCTCAGTGTGGACATGCCTATGCACATATGTGTGCACATGTTTCTGTGTGCATATGCTTGCATGTGTGTGTGCGTGCATGTGAGTGGATGTGTGTGTGAGTGTGGGCATGCCTATGCACGTGTGTGTGTGCATGTTTCTGTGTGTCTGCGTATACGCCTGTGTCTTGAGTGTGTGAATGTGCCTATGGACATGTGTGTACATGTTTCTGCATGTCTGTGCATGCATATGCCTGTGTGTCTCTGTGTGTATGCGTGTGAGTGGCATTCATGTGTGTGTATTTGCGTGAGGTGGGCATGCCTATGCACGTATATGTGTACATGTTTCTGTATGTCTGTGCATGCATATGCCTGTATATGTGTCTGTGTGCACATGTGTTCATATATGTGTGTCTGTGTGAGTGTACATATGCCTATGTACGTACGTGTGTACGTTTCTGTGTATCTGTGTGTCTGTGCGTGCATCTGCCTGTATATGTGTGTGTGTGTGCAAATGTGTCTGTATGTGTGTGTCTGTGTGAATGTGGGTGTGCCTTGTACGTATGTGTGTACATGTTTCTGTGTATCTGTGTACCTGTGTGTGCATTCGCCTGCATGTCTGTGTGTGTGCATGCATGTCAGTGAACGTTGGCGGCCTCTCCTCAGAGCCCCTCTTGCCTGAAGGAAGTGCCACCTCCAGCCCCCCTTTGCTTTGTTTTGCGTCTCGGGAGTGACGTCACTGTCGGCTCCGCAGGATCCTCCCATCCTTGTTCGTCCTGGGCTTGCGGGATGAGTCTGTCAGGAGCAGACACGCCGTGGTGGGCCGTGCACACGTTTGCACCTGCTCTCAGAAGTCCTTTCCCCGAGGAGGAGGCTCTGTTGGAGAGAGAGACCCTTGGGCACCTGTGGGCCCTCACTGCTCTCTTCTGAGACTGTGGTACCGGCCATCTCCAGCCCTGGCCCTGGCCCGGTGACTTCCCCAGGGCACCCCAGGGATGTGCCAAAGGAGGACTCCCCGGGGAGGGTGGGTGAGGTGCGTGCCCGCCGTGCCGAGACGCTCCTGAAGGCAGAGGCTGCTCAGGAAAGTCGGCTGCTTCCTAATCTCCGTCCGTGCTCACGCAAAGTCCTCGGTCGCCGTCTGCCACACGCTTATTTTATTTGGCAGAAGTTACAGCTCAGGCAATTTCGTTAGGAAACCTGTTGGGGTTTCTTGGTTCTATGCAGGATGGCTGGTGCTTTAGGAGGAGGTGGGGATTAGAAAGAGTCTTGAGGCCGGACGTGGTGGCTCACGCCTGCAATCCCAGCACTTTGGGAGGCTGAGGCGGGTGGATCACGAGGTCAGCAGTTCGAGACCAGCCTGACCAACATGGTGAAACCCCATCTCTACTAAAAATACAAAAAAATCAGCCAGGTATGGTGGTGGGCACCTGTAGTTCCAGCTAGTCGGGAGGCTGAGGCAGGAGAATCACTTAAACCTGGGAGGTGGAGGTTGCAGTGAGCCGAGATCGCACCAATGTACTCCAGCCTGGGTGACAGTGTGAGACTCCATCTCAAAAAAAAAAAAAAAGTTAGCCAGGCGTGGTGGCAGGTGCCTGTAATCCCAGCTGCTTGAGATGCTGAGGCAGGAGAATCACTTAAACCCGGGAGGTGGAGGTTGCAGTGAGCCAAGATCATGCCATTGCACTCCAGCCTGGGTGACAAAAGTGAGACTACGGCTCAAAAAAAGAAAAAAAAATACAAATAGTAGCCAAGCCTGGTGGTGAACACCTGGAACCCTGGCTACTTCGGAGGCTGAGGCGGGAGAATCGTTTGAACCCGGGAGGCGGAGGTTGCAGCGAGCTGAGGTCGCGCCTGGGAGGCAGAGGTTGCAAGATTCTGTCTCGGAAAAAAAAAAAAGAAAATATGATCCATCTGTAACATTGAATGCTACACAGCCATGAAAAAGAATCAAATCATGTCCTTTGCAGAAATACGGATGCAGCTGGAGGCGCTTCTTCTTCTTCTTTTTTTTTTTTTTTTTTAGACGGATTCTCACTCTGTCGCCCAGGCTGGAGTGCAGTGGCGCGGTCTCGGCTCACTGCAAGCTCCGCCTCCTTGGTTCACGCCATTCTCTTGCCTCAGTGGAGGCCCACATAAGAGGGAGCTAAAATTGGGTACAAATAGTCATAGAAATGGGAACAATAGATGCTGGCGTCTGCTAGACGGGGGAGGGAAGGATGGAGGCAAAGGCGGAAAAATCATACGTTGGGTCCCATGCTCAGTACTTGGATGGCACAATCCTTCATGCCCCAAACTTCAGCATCACACATTATACTCAAGCAACAAATGTGCACATGAGCCTCCTGAATCCGAAATAAAAGTTGCCATGATTTAAAAAAGAAATAAAGATGATGATTGAAATATGTGTTTTTATTTTTTGAGACAGAGTCTCGCTGTGTCACCCAGGCTGGAGTGCAGTGGCGTGATCTCAGCTCACTGCAACCTCCACCTCCTGGGTTCAAGCAATTCTCCTGCCTCAGCCTCCCGAGTAGCTGGGAAGACAGGCGCCTGCCACCATGCCTGACTAATTTTTGTATTTTTAGTAGAGACGGGGTTTCTCCATATTGGCCAGGCTGGTCTCGAACTCCCGACCTCAGGTGATCCACCTGCCTTGGCCTCCCAAACTGCTGGGATTACAGGTGGGAGCCACTGCGCGCAGCATTTGTCTGTTGTTTATAAGTTGCCACATCTGACATTTGGTGGTGTTGGATTTTCTCTGAAGGTCTTTTTTTTTGAGATGGAGTCTTGCTCTGTCGCCCAGGCTGGAGTGCAGTGGTGCAATCTCGGCTCACTGCAACCTCCGCCTCCTGAGTTCAAGTGATTCTCCTGCCTCAGCCTCCCGAGTAGCTGGGATTGCAGGCACCCACCACCACGCCTGCCTAATTTTTGTGTTTTTAGTAGAGACAGGGTTTCACCATGTTGGCCAGGATGGTCTCAAACTCCTGACCTGGTGATCCGCCTGCCTTGGCCTCCCAAAGTGCTGGGATTACAGGCATGAGCCTCCACACCTGGCCTTTTTTTTTTTCTGAGACTGAGTCTTACTCTGTCGCCCAGGCTGGAGTGCAATGGCACGATCTCGGCTCACCGCAACCTCCACCTCCTGGATTCAAGCGATTCTCCTGCCTCAGCCTCCCGAGCAGCTGGGATGACAGGCCCCCGCCACCACACCTGCCTAATTTTTTTTTGTATTTTCAGTAGAGGTGGGGTTTCACCATGTGAGTCAGGCTGGTCTCCAACTCCTGACCTCAAGTGATCCTCCCGCCTCGGCCTCCCAAAGTGCTGGGATCGCGGACGTGAGCCACCACACCGGCCAACATTCACGCGATTTTCAGAATTAGCAGCCACCCGTCTGGGTCCCCACAGTGTTTGGGGAAAGGGATTTGGGGGTGTGGTACGCCCTGTGTTCCCCGGCGGGCAGCTGGGGCCGGACTCCCTTGCCGACATCCTGTGTGTTCTCTGCATCTCGAAGTTGTCACGAACTCTCATGGCAACCCCCTTCTCGTGCTATGGGTTCCGTTTAGCCTCCCTCAGAATTAGCTAAAAACCCACCGGCTTGATTTCTGGCATTTGCAACGGCCGCGCTCAGGAAACCTCCTGCCTCCTGAAAATGCTCATGCTGGCGGAACGGGAAGGCAAATAGGAATCCGTGGATGATAAATGGGCGTTTTAAGCAGCAGTTTACTTAATATCCCTATTAAACGAGACTCTTTGCATTAATCACTTCATTCTCCAGCAGTCTATAAGGCCCTTTAATTGCTTCTTAAATGAGGACTGAGTTTCCGTCCAAACTCAATCTTGGATGGGGAGAGAGAGATGCTAGCCAGGGCTCAGCTGCCCGGCTGCCAAGAACTGTCAGAATTGATCACGTATGTGTTCACGTTTCCTACAGTCTCATTGGAGTTCTCTGAGATTGACAGGAGAAAGTATCACATACTTTGTGTGTGTGTGTGTGTGTGTGTGTCTGTGTGTGTCAGAGACAGAGGGACACAGAGGCCGGGAGCAGGGGTGTGTAAGTGTGAGGTTCTGAACGCAAAGACAGGCCGTTCTGCTCACAATCCACAGGCCAGCGACCTTGTGGACCATTGCATTATGTATTAGCAATATTTATTTTCATTTTATGATTTTATTTATTTGAGACAGCTTCTTGGTCTGTCGCCCATGCTGGAGGGCAGTGGTGCAATCATAGCTCACTGCAGCCTTGATCTTCCAGGCTCAAGAAATCTTCCCTCCTCAGCCTCCCAACTAGCTGGGACTACAGGTGCATGCCACCATGCCTGTCTATTTTTTTTTTTTTGGAGGCAGGGTCAGTCACCCAGGCTGGAGAGCAGCGGTGTGATCTTGGCTTACCACAACCTCCGCCTCCCAGGTTCAAGCGATTCTCCTGTGTCAGCCTCCCGAGTAGCTGGGATGACAGGCACCCGCCACCACGTCTGGCTAATTTTTGTATTTTCAGTAGAGACAGGGTTTCACCAAGCTGGCCACGCTGGACTCGAACTCCTGACCTCAGGTGATCCACCTGCCTCGGCCTCCCAAAGTGCTGGGATTATAGGCGTGAGCCACCACGCCGGGCCCATACCTGGCTATATATATATATATATATATATATATATATATATATATATTTTAATGTTTTGTAGAGATGGGGGTCTCACTATATTGCAAACCAGGCTGGTCTCAAACCCTTGGGCTCAAGTGATCCTCCCACATCAGCCTCCCAAAGTGCTGGGATTATATATTTATCTACTTTTGAGATGGAGTCTCGCGCTGTCGCCCAGGCTGGAGTGCAGTGGCATGAGCTCGGCTCACCGCAAACTCCGCCTCCCGGGTTCAAGCGATCCTCCTGCCTCAGCCTCCCGAGGAGCTGGGATTACAGGCGCCCGCCACCACGCCCGGCTAATTTTGTATTTTTAGTAGAGACGGGGTTTCTCCATGTTGGTCAGGCTGGTCTCGAACTCCTGATCTCATGATCCACCCACCTCAGCCTCCCGAAGTGCTGGGATGAGAGGTGTGAGCCACCGCACCTGGCTACTTTTGTATTTTGAGTAGAGATGGAATTTCACCATGTTGGTCTGGCTGGTCTCGAACTCCTGACCTCTAGTGATCCACCTGCCTTGGCCTCCCAAACTGCTGGGATGACAGGCATGAGCCACCGTGCCCTGCCTGGGATTATTATCACAAATAACACCTATTCATTTTTACAAACCATATTTATGTAGTTATTCAAACCTAGGGCTAAAAATGATGTGGCTGCTGGGGTGACCTTTGGGGTAGGATCGGGAATTGGGGTGTAGCCCTCCTCCAGGCTCCATAGACCTCAGCCCCCCCAAGTTCTGTTTCTGACTTGTTCATGCTCAGAAAGTTGTCAGGGACGGCCTGGGTTTCTTTCCCACCTTCCTTGTTTGGGAGGAAGGTTCTGGAATCCTTTTTTTTTTTTTTTTTAGATGGAATTTTGCTCTTGTTGCCCAGGCTGGAGTGCAATGGTGCCAACTCAGCTCACTCCAACCTCCACCTCCCGGGTTCAAGCCATTCTCCTGCCTCAGCCTCCCGAGTAGCTGGAATTACAGGCATGAGCCACCACACCCGGCTAATGTTTGTATTTTTAGTAGAGACGGGATTTCACCACGTTGGCCAGGCTGGTCTCGAACTCGCGACCTCAGGTGATCTTCCCGCCTCGGTCTCCCAAAGTGTTGGGGTTACAGGCGTGAGCCTCCGCGCCCAGCCGGGTTCTGGAATCTTGAAGCTCCCCAGACACCAAGGCTGGATGGAAAGTTAGGCCATCAGAAAGCAAATGGGGAGAGGCTCGTGGGAATAGCGTGGGCCTCATGTAGTGTTTTGCTTTATGTGAAATGGGGCAGCAAAAAACAGCTGTTCCCTCCACCCCCCAGGCTGGAAAATTTATCTCCAGTATTCATTCTGGTAAATGAATGCCTGTGTGTTAGTAAGAGGGGAAGGAGCTGCTAGTCCTTGAGGTCAGCTGAAACCTCCTTCAGAGCCTCCAGCCTGGCCTTGAGACCGGCTCACCACATGTGAGCAGCCAGGAGCCCCGCCAAGACCTGCTGTTGCCCCTCCTTCCTGCCCTGCCCCAGTGCCGGGGTCCTGTGGATGTAGATTTTTTCTTTTTTTTTTTTTGAGATGGAGTTTCGCTCTTGTCCCTTAGGCTGGACAGCAATGGCGCGATCTCTGCTCACCACAACCTCCGCCTCCCAGGTTCAAGCCATTCTCCTGCCTCAGCCTCCGGAGTAGCTGGGATTACAGGCACCCGCCACCACTTGTAAATTTTGTATTTTTAGTAGAGATGGGGTTTCACCCTGTTGGCCAGGCTGGTCTCGAACTCCTGACCTCAGGTGATCCACCTGCCTTGGCCTCCCAAAGTGCTGGGATTACAGGCGTGAGCCGCTGTGCCGGGCCTGTTGATTCTTATCTGGCTTTCATGGGACCACAGGGGCTCCTGAAAGTGTGAAACAGAGAATTTCCATAGAACCCAGTAATACCCCAGCTAAGTATGTACCTAAAAGAATAGAAAGGAGGGGCCGGGAACAGTGACTCACGCCTGTAATCCCAGCACTTTGGGAGGCCGAGGCAGGTGGATCACCTCAGGTCGGGAGTTGGAGACCAGCCTGACCAACATGGAGAAACCCCGTCTCTACTAAACATACAAAATTAGCCAAGGGCGTGGAGGTGCCTGCCTGTAATTTCAGCTACTGAGGAGGCTGAGGCAAGAGAATCCCTTGAACCCGGGAGGCGGACGTTGTGGTGAGCCGAGATGGCGCCATTTCACTCCATCCTGGGCAACAAGAGTGAAACTCCGTCTCAAAAAAAAGAAAGAGGGACTGGAAGAGATATCTGCTCGCTCACGTTTGTAGGAGCACACACATGGAAACCATCCAGGTGTCCCTCAGTGGATGAATCGATAAACAAACAGTGGTTCACTCACTTTGTGCCCACCCAGTGGAGTACTATACAGCCATGAAAAAGAATGAGGCTGTGACCTAGGCTGCAACGTGGATACACCCTGAAGAAGTCACACTCAGCGATATTTCCTTTGGCTTATTGTACAATCCCCTTACGTCAACTGTCCGGAAGCGGCCAATGCACAGAGAGAGAGCTCAGATGAGTGGTTGCCACAGGCTGTGGGGAGGGAATGAGGAGGAACTGCTTCCTGGGGAGGGGGTCTCCTTTTATGGGGAGAAGGATGTTCTGGAAGTAGACAGAGGGGGTGGTTACACGGCGCAGTGATGTTCTCAATGCCACTGAGATTTTCACGGCGGTTAAAGTGGTGAGTTTTATGTTGTGAAATTTATGGTGAATTTCATATAATACGTTTTATGTCATTGCAGTGAAAAACAACACAATCCCGGCCCTCCTACGGCCCCCGCCTTCCCTCTGTGTCTGCGGTCTGTACCCTACGAACGCCTAGGACGCTAGACGGGATCCCTCCCCACGGAGCTATATAGGAAGGTGAACCCAGTCTGGGGTTCCTGAGCTGCTACGGCTCACTGCTTCCTTTCGGAAATTGGTGTATTGTCTTTGGAAAATGACTTCACACAAACCTGCTCACAGATATACCCGGTCCCAGATATGCCTAAGTGAGCGGAGACTACCGTGTCCTGAAACAGCATCTTCTCTTTTAAAAAATGTTGTGTTTTTTGTTTTGTCTTTTTTCTTTTTTTTGAGATAGGATCTCACTGTGTTGCCCAGGCTGGAGTGCAACAGTGTAATCATAGCTCACTGCAGCCTCAACTTCCCAGGCTCAAGCGATCCTCCTGCCTCAGCCTCCCAAGGAGCTGGGATTACATGTGTGCACCACCATGCCTGGCTAATTTTTTGATCTTTTGTATAGATGAGACCTCACTATGTTGCCCAGGCTGGAGTGCATCAGTGTAATCATAGCTCACTGCAGCCTCAACTTCCCAGGCTCAAGCGATCCTCCTGCCTCAGCCTCCCAAGTAGCTGGGACTACATGTGTGCGCCACCACGCCCGGCTAAGTTTTTGATCTTTTGTGGAGATCAGGCCTCACTATGTTGCCCAGGCTGGAGTGCAGTGGTGTAATCATAGCTCACTGCAGCCTCAACTTCCCAGGCTCAAGCGATCCTCCCACCTCAGCCTTCTAAGTATGTGGGATTACAGACATGCACCATCACGCCCAGCTAAGTTTTTGATTTCTTTTGGTACATACAGGGTCTCACTATGTTGCCCAGGCTGGTCTTGAATTCCTGGGCTCAAGTGATCCTCACTCCTCGGCCTCCCAAAGTGCTGAGATTACAGGCGTGAGCCACCATGCCTGGCCTCTTTTTTTGTTTTTGAGACAAGGTCTGAAATAACAACTATCTGTAAAAAAAAAAATATATATATATATATGGTTTTAATGTTATATATATAAGGTTTTAATGTTATATATAAATGTTTTATATTTATATATGACATATATAACATTTTAATGCTATATACATATAATGTTTTAATGTTATATATACATACAAATATATAAATATATATATTTTTAAACAGGGTCTTGCTCTGTCACCTGGGCTGGAGTACCCTGGTGTGATCACAGCTCACGGTTGCTTCGACCTCCTGGTCTCCAGCGATCCTCCTGTCTCAGCCTCCCCAAAATGCTGGGATTACAGGTGTGAGCCGCCGCTCCTGGCCAGCACCTTCTCTTATGCGGTACCTGGAAAGTCCCACATCATGCGAACGTCTCCACCAGGTACCCGGGAGGTGGCATTCGGGGAATGAGGGGGACCAGGGCTCAGAGCATCCCCAAAGTGGCTTCCTTGCCTCATAGGGTCACCCCCTTAGCCCAGAGCTGGAGGTGAGTGGGGGCGTGAAAGAGGCATCTTCCCTTCCAGAGGGCGGCAGTGGGGTTGAATGGATAACTTTAATCCTGACACACGTATTTCAGAAGACCTACCGCCAACTTTCCAGCTATGGGCAGCAGGTGTGATGAACACACGGGCCCCGGTGAGGGCTGAATGGGCCCAGATGGCAGGGGCAGAGAGGTTTGCATTCATTTTAATGTTCTCAGAAACTAGGATAAGCACTGGCAGCGGATGGAATGAGGAGAGCTGCATATTCGGTGAACTGTGTTGAAAGCACAGGGTTTTCACGGAAAATAAATAATGTCCAATGCAGCTAAAATACCGTGCGCCACCCGTAAGCCGGCGTTTATCCAGAGCTCCGAGTGTCTGTGAGATTTTAAGGAAAAGAAAGGAAGCTGGAAAAAAAAATAATAATCCAAATGAATCACAGACCAACGATCCCTAAAAGGTTTGCTTTAATAATTTTTTTTTTTTTTTTTTTGTGGCTGTGGAAGATGACTCGGATTCAAAATAATGAGGATGTTTATGTCTGCAGTCTGTTCCTCTCTTGAAGATTCAATTCTAAATAATGCAGGTCTCCTAAATGCTAGCAAATAGTGTCATACACTCCTTTTCACAAAATAGCTTTGACTTTGGGGAAGGCAACTATCATTAACTGGGCACCGGCACCTTTAAGCAAAGGTTTCCTGGAATAACAGTCAGCTAAGGAAATATAATGAGAGCTATTTCTTGCCCTTCCTGCTCGAAACCGTTGGCTGGAACTCAGCCTGCCCCTCAGCTGAAGCACGTCTGGTTTAAATTCATACGGCATAGATTTACAATTTTTAAACGACTGGATATGTATTTTTTTTTTTCTACGCTGTTTGCAGACCTGGTGGACACCTGTTGTTTCTGGTTAGGAAAGGAGGAGATAATTGGATACCAGAGAGAGCCTGACTTCTTGAGCCACCATTTAACCGGCTGATTTCAGCAATAAATTGGAGGGGGGCGGGGATGGGGAAAAAATAACACCCAAGAAACATTCAGACAGATTTGCAACCACAAAGTCTGTCTCCTTTATTATTTTAATTTTATTATTATTATTACTTTTGCTTTGTTTAACATAAAAACGATCTAGGCGAGTCCTTCTGGGCTGATGTGTATGTGCTTTTTCCTGCCTGGCTATCCTGTAGCTTTATCTAAGGCAAATCGGAGTACGTGTAAATAAATTAGTTCAACCATTGTGGAAGACAGCGTGGCGATTCCTCAAGGATGTAGAACTAGAAATACCGTTTGACCCAGCCATCCCGTTACTGGGTATATACCCAAAGGATTATAAATCACTCTACCATAAAGACACATGCACACGTATGTTTATTGAGGCACTGTTCACAACAGCAAAGACTTGGAACCAACCCAAATGCCCATCAATGATAGACTGGATACAGAGAATGTGGCACACAGACACCATGGAATACTATGCAGCCACGAAAAAGGATGGGTTCATGTCCTTTGCAGGGACATGGATGAAGCTGGAAACCATCATTCTCAGCAAACTCGCACAGGAACAGAAAACCACACACCGCATGTTCTCACTCCTAAGTGGGAGCTGAACGATGAGAACACAGGGACGCAGGGAGGGGAACATCACACACCGGGGCCTGTCAGTGGGTTGCGGGCCAAGGAGTGGGATTGCATTAGGATGCTATCCTAATGCTAACAAATATCTAATCCATCCAGGGCTTAACACCTAGATAAGGGACCTCCTCTGAATAATTAATATACTCCTGGTGATAGATGATCCGCACGGTCTGGATATTAGGTTATCAATCACGACCCACTTGTTTTAACGTAATCCTATTGAACACGTGTCAGGAGCTGTTTACCCAGAGGTGACAGCTACACAGCACCCCCATTTCCAGCCAGAAAATCGTACCATTTCCTTTCCTTCGACTGCCGCTTCCCGACCCCTTTCCCCGTTTCCGGCCAGAAAATCGTACCATTTCCTTTCCTTAACCTGCCGCTTCCTGACACTTTCCCCCCAGTGTTTTAGTACAGATGGAGTTTCACCATGTTGGCCAGGCTGGTCTTCGATGGGTGACTTCAGGTGATCCGCCTGCTTCAGCCTCCCAAAGTGCTGGGATGACAGGCGTGAGCCACTGTGCCCGGCCTCCAGTGTTTTTCAAATTGTGGTAAAACGCACATAACACAAAGTCTAGAGCATTAACCATGTATTTTGTTTTAAGACAGAGTTTCACTCTTGTCGCCCAGGTTGGAGTGCAATGGCATGATCTCGGCTCACTGCAAACTCTGCCTCTTGGGTTCAAGCGATTCTCCTGCCTCAGTCTCCCGAGTAGCTGAGATTACAGGCGCCCGCCACCACGCCCGGCTAATTTTTTGTATTTTTAGTAGAGACCGGGTTTCCCCATGTTGGTGAGGCTGGTCTTGAACTCCTGACCTCAGGTGATCCACCTGCCTCAGCCTCCCAAAGTGCTGGGATGACAGGCGTGAGCCACCGTGCCCGGCCGGCATTCACCGTGTGTAAATGTACACAGCAGTTTGAACTGCAGTTGGCTTCTGCAGCCATCACCACCATCCGTATCTCCAGAAGTTTCTCATCTTCCCAAACAGAAACCCTGTTCCCCTTACACACTCACTCCCTTTCCCCGGCTGCCATCAACCTCCTCTCCATCTCCATGACTCTGAGGACTCCAGGGACCTCCTGTAAATGGAATCCCACAGTGTGTATCTTTTTTTTTTTTTTTTTTTTTTTTTTTGAGATGGAGTCTTGCTCTGTCGCCCAGGCTGGAGTGCAGTGGCGCGATCTCGGCTCACTGCAAGCTCCGCCTCCCGGGTTCACGCCATTCTCCTGCCTCAGCCTCCCGAGTAGCTGGGACTACAGGCGCCCGCCACCACATCTGGTTAATTTTTTTGTATTTTTAGTAGAGACGGGCTTTCACCGTGTTAGCCGAGATGGTCTCGATCTCCTGACCTCATGATCCGCCTGCCTCGGCCTCCCAAAGTGCTGGGATTACAGGCGTGAGCCACGGCGCCCGGCCCCACAGTGTTTATCTTTCTGTGTCTGGCTTCGTCACTGCTCCAAGACTCACGTTTGTTGTAGCAAGCGCCAAATTTTCTTCCTTTTGGCTGGCTTATGAGGATTTTAGGAGGGACTTCAGTCTCCCAGTTTGTTATTTATTTTCTACGTGCTTTCTACGTCACGCGTTTCCTGTGTTTCTGTCCTCTTGTGTGTTTCATTGATTTATTTTTATTTTTGTAGACACGAAGTCTTGCTCTGTCACCCAGTGAGACTCCAACTCCTGGGCTCAAGCAATCCTCCTGCCTCAGCCTCCCGAGTAGCTGGGAGCACAGGCATGCACCACCACGCCTGGCTAATTTTTTTTTTTTTTTTTTTTTGGTAGGGACAGGCTCCTGGGGAAGAGGGGGAAGGAAAGGAGTGGTCTTGGGCCCTGTATTGTAGGAGTTTCTGGGCTTCTAACAACAGCAACTTGTTTTCTCCCAGTCCCGGTGTCCAGGAGTCTGAGATCAAGGTGTAGGCAGGACCACAGTCCCTCCAGAGGTTCTAGGGGAGGGTCCTTCCTGCCTCTCCCAGCTCCCGGGGGCTCCAGGCTTCCTGGGCTTGTGGCCGCGTCACTCCAGTCTCTGCCTCCGTTCTCCACGTGGCCTTCTTCTCTGTGTCTGTGTCTTCTCTTCTGTCTCTTACAAGGACACCTGCCATTGCATTTAGGGCCCAGCCTACTCCAGGATGACCTCATCTCAAACTTCTTGAGTTAACTGTGTCTGCAAAGACCCTATTTTCAAATAAGTTCTCATTCACAGATACTGGGAGCTTAAAACAACAGAAATTTATCCTCTCCCAGTCCTGCAGACCAGGAGTCTGAGATGAAGCGGTCTCAGGGCTGAGCTCCCTCCAGAGGCCCTAGGGGAGGGTCCTTCCTGCCTCTCCCAGCTCCTGGGGGCTCCAGGCTTCCTGGGCTTGTGGCCGCATCACTCCAGTCTCTGCCTCTGTTCTCCACGTGGCCTTCTCCTCTGTGTCTGTGTCTCCTCTTCTGTCTCTTAGAAGGACACCTGTCAATGGATTTAGGACTCACCTAATCCAGGATCATCTCATTTCGAAATCCTTGACTTAGTTACATCTGTAAAGACCTCATATCCGAATAAGATTCCATTCATGGGTTGAGGGAGTTAGGATGTAGACATAGCTTTTCGGGGAGACTATGGTTCAACCCATTCCGATTGTATCCAGTTCCTTCTGGAGGTTCTAGGGGAGGGTCCTTCCTGCCTCTCCCAGCTCCTGGGGGCTCCAGGCATCCCTGGGCTTGTGGCCGCCTCACTCCAGTCTCTGCCTCCGTCTCCACGTGGACTTCTCCTCTGTGTCTGTGTCTCCTCTTCTGTCTCTTAGAAAGTCACCTGTCATTGCATTTAGGGTCCACCCTCATTCATGATCATCTCATCTCAAGATCCTTCACTTAATCACATTTGCAGAGACCCTATTTCCAAACGATATCTCATTCTAGGTTCTGGGCTTTAGGATGTGGACAGATCTTTCTGGGGGCCACTGTTCAATCCATTACAATTGTATCCACTTCCTTGTAGAGGTTCTAGGGCAGGATCCTTCCTGCCTCTCCCAGCTCCTGGGGGCTCCAGGTGTCCCTGGGCTTGTGGCCGCATCACTCCAGTCTCTGCCTCCGTCTCCACGTGGACTTCTCCTCTGTGTCTGTGTGTCCTCTTCTGTCTCTTACAAGGACACCTGTCATTGCATTTAGAGCTCACCTAATCCAGGATGATCTCACCTCAAGATCCTCAACTTAATTACATCTGCATGTGTGAGTGGCTTCCCGGAGACACCCCTTTTCTCTCCCATTCCTTTTTCTTTTTCCCTACCATGGAGGACGAGGACACGCACGCACGGGAACTCAAGTTTCACCCCGTGAGTATTTTAGGCGTGGGGCACTTTCAGCCCAGGTGTATGAAAATGGTCTCATTAAGGGGACTGCTCGGATGACACATCCAGTGAGGGTGGCATTGCCTGTGTGGCAGTTCAAAGAATCGGAGACAAGCTCTAGAGAGAGCGAGGACACACACAGGTGCACGCATCACACACACACACGTGCACACGCGGGCACGCACACACAGGTGCACACGGCCATCACCCCGGCCGCGTGAGAGTGTTGCTTATATCGAAACCGTCTTCAGCCCAGAAGGTCACTCGTGGCAATAATGGTCTCGTTAGACACGCCATCCATCATTCAAATAATCGCAATTTAGAGCCCGCGTTTCATGCCGGGCTGGTTTAATCACCAGCAGCAGTTTGTGAAGGGCCTCATTCGCCTGGGATTCGGGGATATTGCGTGATTTAGCAGACGTGACCCCTGACCTCTGCGGGGGGCGGAGAGCCTGCCTTGGAGGCAAAAGCGGAACAGCGAGGGTGACTCACTCAGGGACAATTATTATGCTTAACAGCCTCACTGTCATCTTAGAAGGAAAAAGAGCCAAAAAAAAAAAAAAAATCCATAGGATGCTGAGCATTCCTTCCAGATCCTTCAGCATTCCTTCCAGATCCTTCAGCATTCCTTCCAGATCCTTCAGCATTCCTTCCAGATCCTTCAGCATTCCTTCCAGATCCTTCAGCATTCCTTCCAGATCCCAGTTTAGAAGAAGGCAGTGGGGTCGGTTTAAATGCACCCAGCGTGCTCCCGAAGATAATGTTTTTGTTTCTGTAGACGCGGTGGCAGCTTTCTGGCGATTTCTAGGCAATGTACAGGAGGAAAGAAAGAAGGAAGGGGAGGGCACGGAGAAGCTCCGGAAGGCTGGATGCTTGGGGAAGGAGGTCAGGAGGCAGGACCGGCCGGCCGCCCTCCAGACGTCCAGATGTCCAGACGTCCAGCCAGCCGGACACCGGTCTGCACCTGTCACAGGTGAGCAGCATTTGTTAGCGACGTCTGCACAGGCATCAGTTGGGTAAAGGATGTTCCCGTGTTGTACCTGGAGCGAGTTAGAGAAAACGCCACACTTTGAGACGAATTAAGAGTCCGTTTATTTAGCCGGCGGCCAAGAGACGGCTAACGCTCAAAGTTCTCTCGGCCCCGAAGAAGGGGCTAGATTTTTTTTTTATACTTTGGTTTAGAAAGGGGAGGGGGATCTAGCGAAAACCATTTTACAGAAATAAAGTAGGCAAAAAAGTTAAAAGGATAAATGGTTACAGGGAAGTAAACAGGTGCAGGGCCTTTAAGACTATTACAAGGTGATAGACGCAGGGCTTCGGGCGTTAGTAATCAGACGAATTCCTGGGAATTGCGGATATAGCTCGCCACAGTATCTTATCAGTTAATTGCATTCTTGGATGTGCTGGGAGTCAGCTTGCACGAGTTCAGTCCTTGAGGAAGGGGCTGCCAGTGAAAGAGCCATGATGGAGTCTGTCTGGTTCTCTTAGCTAAGGGTGAGTCCATTCAGGTGGAAACAAGGCTAGGTGATTGAAGGAAAAGGGAGAGTCTAAAAACAGGGTTAGTAAAAAGGAGGTTGGGCATTACAGGTGAAACCCCGTCTGCCCGAGCCAGCAAACGCTGCTCACCCGTGACAGGTGCAGACCCGGTCTCCGGCTGGTCCTGCCTCCTGGCCTCCTTCCCGAAGCATCCAGCCTTCCGGAGCACAGGCAGACGGGTACAGGATGGTCCCCAGGCCCTCATTCACTTGGAAGCAACAGGAGAAAATCCTCTATTGCATTTCTGCAGCCGTCCGCATTTCTGCGCACAGAGACGGTTAAATGCTTGTCATTTAACTTGTCATTCTCTCCATAACACAGTGTTCTATTTTTATTTCCATCGGTGCAAAGCTCATCACTCTCCGTCCCCTCCTGCCTGGGATGCTTGCAGCCCCCTTCCTGAGACGGTGGCGATCCCCCAGTACCAGATTTTTGGTGATCCCAGGGGGCCACGGGCTGTGCCTGGCATCTCTCTCATGAAACATCTCTTTTTCTTGTGATCATTTAAAATTCATCCTCGCTCCAAAGAAGGTATCTGTGTAGCAGTGTTGCCTCCGTGAGCCGTCCTGATTTTTTTTTTCCGGTATTTCAAAGGGAGGTTAGGGGATCGGGTTATTTTTGGTGAGAACAGCGGGAAACCAAGCCTTGACTTCTCGAGTCCCTGGGGTGCAGGAGAGGGGTCTCTGAGGACCATGCTGGGAAAATAACTCATCCCTCCTTTGGTCATCTTTGGAGATGAGCTGAAACCAGGCGGGGCTCTAGTCACTTATTTATCTGCTTCTTAAATTTTATTTTATTTATTTATTTTTTTTGAGACAGAGTCTTGCTCTGTCACCCAGGCTGGAGTGCAATGGTGCGATCTTGGCTCACTGCAACCTCCGCCTCTCGGGTTCAAGCGATTCTCCTGCCTCAGCCTCCCGAGTAGCTGGGACTGCAGGCACCCACCACCACGCCCGGCTAATTTTTTGTATTTTTAGTAGAGACGGGGTTTCACCGTGTTAGCCAGGATGGTCTCGATCTCCTGACCTCGTGATCCGCCCGCCTCGGCCTCCTAAAGTGCTGGGATGACAAGCGTGAGCCACCGTGCCCGGCCCAAAGATGCCTTTTAATAAACAAGGTATTTGGGAGGCTGAAGAGGGTGGATGACCTGAGGTCAGGAGTTCGAGACCAGCCTGGGATGACAGGCGTGAGCCACCGCGCCCGGCCTCATGCCTCCTGTTTTTAGGACATACAGGGTAACTTCCTGCGTGGCTATGACATCTGTAAATGGTCCTGGTGCTGGTGGGAGTGTCTTTTAGCAGCAAATGAATTACAGTTAGTGTAAGGTACAATTAGTGCGGTGAGGACAACCTGAGGTCACTTTCGTTGCCATCTTGGTTTTGGCGGGATTTGGCCGGCTTCTTCACTGCGAGCTGTTTTATCAGCAACTCTTTATGACCTCTGTCTTGTGCCAACCTCCTATCTCAACCTGTAGGTTAGAATGCCTTAACCTGGGGAGGCCGAGGCAGGTGGATCACCTGAGGTTGGGAGTTCCAGATCAGCCTGACCAACATAGCGAGACCCCGTCTCTACTAAAAATACAAAATTAGCCAGGCGTGGAGGTGCATGCCTGTAATCCCAGAACTTTCGGAGGCCAAGGCGGGCGGATCACCTGAGGTCGGGAGTTTGAGACCAGCCTGACCAACATGGCGAAACCCCGTCTCTACTAAAAATACAAAATTAGCCGGGCGTGGAGGCTCGCACCTGCAATCCCAGAACTTTGGGAGGCCAAGGTGGGTGGATCACGAGGTCAGGAGTTCAAGACCAGCCTGGCCAGCACGGTGAAACCCCGTCTGTAATAAAAATACAAAAATTAGCCGGGCGTGTGGTGGCGCGTGCCTGTAATCCCAGCTACTCAGGAGGCTGAGGCAGGAGAATCGCTTGAACCCGGGAGGCGGAGCTTGCAGTGGAGCTGAGATTGCACCACTGCACTCTAGCCTGGGTGAGAGAGCGAGACTCTGTCTTAAAAAAAAGAAAAAAAAAAATCTGAACCTTCTGAGAATGCAGCCCAGAAGGTCTCAGCCTCATTTTACCCAGCCCCTGTTGAAAGTGGAGTTGCTTTACTTCCAACACCTCTGACACTGCTGTTTGGGAATCTTCCGAATGATTAGAGAGTTATAGAAAGTTAAGGCGCCTTGATCCGGAGAAGCTGGTGCCGTCTCTCTCATGGCGTCTGTGGGACAATTGTCCGGGAAGAGGGCGGCTCTGGGCACTCCGGGGGGCTGGAGGTGGGAGCTTCGTATCCTGGAGGTGGCTGTGTGTTTTGGAGACTCATTGTACCACATAAAACACCCTTAAATATCCTTGCCTTCCCCTGCTATTTTGTATAATAATAATATAATTATATTTTATAATTAATAAAATATTATTTTATAATAATAAATACTATTTTATAATAATAAAATATTGCTTTATAATAAATAAAATATTTTAATAATTAATAAAATATTATTTTTAATAATTAATAAAATAATTGTATAAATATAACGTATAACAAAATATTCTATAGTAATAAAATAATTATATAATAATATAATTAATAAAATAATTTATAATAAATTTTATAAATTTTATAATAAATAATTTTATAATAAATATAACTTGTAATAAAAATTCCATAATAATTAATAAAATAATTATGTAATAATATAATTAATAAAATAATTTTATAATATAATTTGTAATAAAAATTCTATAATAATAAAATAATTATATATTATGTGATATTACTACAATAATAATTATATTAATATATAATTATGTATATATATGTTTTTTGAGACGGAGTTTCGCTCTTGTTGCCCAGGTTGGAGTGCAGGGGAGCGATCTCAGCTCACCACAACCTCTGCTTCCCGGGTTCAAGCGATTCTCCTGCCTCAGCCTCCGGAGTAGCTGGGATGACAGGCATGCGCCATCACACCCGGCTAATTTTGTATTTTTAGTAGAGACAGAGTTTCTCCATGTTGGTCAGGCTGGTCTCAAACTCCTGACCTCAGGTGATCCGCCTGCCTCAGCCTCCCAAAGTGCTGAGATTACAGGTGTTAGCCACTGCGTTTGGCCAATATATAATAATAATCGCATATTATTAATTAATATATTATAATTAATATATTATATATAATATAATTACATATTTTACTATGTTAATATATAATATAAAACATTATATGATTAATATGTAATTATATTAATATATTAATATATTTATTATATTTTATATAACATTTACATTATATTATATAACATTTATGTATTGTATTTAATATATAATGATATATAATATTTAATACATAATAATATATATTTATGTATTATATTATACATTATAATATGGTATCTATTTTATAATATAGTAGTAATAATATACTCCCTGGGAAGTATAATACTAATGATTATTATTATTAAGAGACAGGGTCTTGCTCTATTGCCCAGGCTGGAGTGCAGTGGCAGGATCATAGCTCACTGCAGCCTCAACCTCTCAGGCTCAAGCAATCCTCCCGTTTTAGCCTCCTGAGTCACTGGGACTACCGGTGTACACCACCATGCCCAGCTAATTTTTTAATTTTTTGCCTAGAAGGGGAGTCTCACTATGTTGCCTGGCCTGGTTGGGAACCCCTAGGCTCAAGCACTCTTCCCAGCTTCCAAAGTGCTGTGGTGACAGCTGTGAGCCACCGTGCCCGGCCAGGTTGGACAAGTGCTAACATACTGTCCATAACATAAGCTGTATGCCGGATGCATACGGCCGGCCTATAGTTTCTGCAAATCCAGAAAAGCTTACTGCAACTGCAGAAAGAAAAAAAAAAGAAAGAGAGAAAGAGAGAGAGAGAAGGAGGGAGGGAGGGAGGAAGGAAGGAGAGGGAGGGAGGGAAGGAAGGAAGGAAAGAAGGAAGGAAGGAGAGGGAGGAAGGAAAGAAGGAAGGAGACGGAGGAAGGAGAGGGAGGAAGGAAGGAGAGGGAGGAAGGAAAGAAGGAAGGAGACAGAGGGAGGAAGGAGAGGGAGGAAGGAAGGAGAGGGAGGGAGGAAGGAAGGAAGGAGACGGAGGAAGGAGAGGGAGGGAGGAAGGAGAGGGAGGGAGGAAGGAAGGAAGGAGACGGAGGAAGGAGAGGGAGGGAGGAAGGAGAGGGAGGGAGGAAGGAAGGAAGGAGACGGAGGAAGGAGAGGGAGGAAGGAAGGAGAGGGAGGAAGGAAGGAGAGGGAGGAAGGAGACAGGGAGGAAGGAGAGGGAGGAAGGAAGGAGAGGGAGGGAGGAAGGAGAGGGAGGGAGGAAGGAGAGGGAGGGAGGAAGGAGACGGAGGAAGGAAGGAGAGGGAGGAAGGAAGGAGAGGGAGGAAGGAAAGAAGGAAGGAGACAGGGAGGAAGGAGAGGGAGGAAGGAAGGAGAGGGAGGGAGGAAGGAAGGAAGGAGACGGAGGAAGGAGAGGGAGGAAGGAGAGGGAGGGAGGAAGGAGAGGAAGGAAGGAGATGGAGGAAGGAAGGAGAGGGAGGAAGGAAGGAGGGAAGGGAGGGAGGAAGGAAGGAGAGGGAGGGAGGAAGGAAGGAGGGAAGGGAGGGAGGAAAGAAAGAAGGAAGGAAGATTCTAATTCAAATCAGTTGCTTAAGAGGGAGAGATCAGGAAGTTCCCAACTAAAGTGCTGGGGTGACAGGTGTGAGCCACCATGCCCGGCCAGGTTCCCCAGCTGTTTGGACAAGTAGTAACAAGTAGCCAACTGCAAATGCACAAAGAAAGAAGGAGGAAAGAAAGAAAGAGAGAGAGAGAAGGAAGAAAGGAAAGAGAAAGAAGAAAAGAAAAAACCAATTCTAATTCAAATCAGTTGCTTAAGAGGGAGAGATCAGGAAGAAAGAAAGAAGGAAAGAGAAAGAAAGGAAAAGAAGAGAGAAAGAGAGAGAGAAAGAAAGAAAGAAAGAAAGAAAGAAAGACAGAAAGAAAAACAAATCCTAATTCAAATCACTTGCTTAAGAGGGAGAAATAAGGCAATTTCCCACCAGGAGGATGCCGTCTAGATCGGACGGTGTTGTTGGTACGGGACCTGACTCTGAAGTCACTAACAAAACTCCCAGGCTTTGTGCAAAGGAGAACCTCTAAGCCCCCGGGAACGGCGTTTTCTCGCTCGCCACCATGAGTCTGGCTGGCTCGCCTCCTTGTAGAACGAGGTGGCCGCAAGTTTGGCGGCCTCTGGAGAAACGGCGGTGCATTTGTTGACGTAAGAAGTAATGTAGAGGGTGGGGGAGTGTCTGTTCCATGATAATTTCTGAATAGTGCGTTTCTCCGGAGCCATACATCATTGTCAACTCAGAAGATTACACGTACCGTTGCCTTTGTGAACCGGGGACTCGGGGTGGGGGCAAATGTCCCCAAATGCAAATCCGCCTGGTAGATAGAGTGAGATAGATATGAATGTAGACACCACGGGTCTCCTTCCCCGACAACCCACCTTTTTTTGTTTGTTTGTTTTAGGTGATTCAGGGACAAAGCTTTCCTGGAACAACAAGGCTGAAATTACATCATCATTGCAGACGTCCGTCGGCAAGCGGCGTTTTATTTCAAGGCTAGGAGCTGAAATGATCGTGTTCAGTCACGCACACCGTCTATGATAAGGTAGGTCTGGGCGGGAAGGGAGGTGCAGAATACATGCAATCATTCATCGAGATGAAAATAAAGTCAATCGAGCGCTCTCCCCCTGGAGGGAACAGGAAGGCAAACGTTTGTCTGGCTGAAAACACAGGCAAAAAAATTTAGACGTTGTCTATAGCTGCAACCAGATTTGGAGACAGAGGCCAAGCACCTGAATCGTTGCCCCAACTTTCTAGTTTTAACCTGATATTCGGTGTGTCATGTTATTTTGTTTTACTGTCATTTTATTTTATTTCATTTTTTTTGAGATGGAGTCTCGCTCTGTCACCAGGCCGGAGTGCAGTGGCGCGATCTCGGCTCACTGCAACCTCCGCCTCCCGGGTTCAAGCGATTCTCCTGCCTCAGCCTCCCAGGTAGCTGGGACTACAGGCGCCCGCCACCACGCCCGGCTAATGTTTGTATTTTTAGTAGAGACGGGATTTCACCCCGTTGGCCAGGCTGGTCTGAAACTCCTGACCTCGTGATCCACCCACTTCGGCCTCCCAAAGTGCTGGGATGACAGGCGTGAGCCACCGCATCCGGCCTCTACACACACGTTTATATACACACATACCTGACCATATATATGCATACATCTATATTTATCACACATACGTACATAGATGTATGGATTTTGTTACAGACAGAAACTTAATTTAACCATCTCTGACACATTGCTTCTTAAATTATAAAGCCACTTTCCCACTTTCCCAATATCCACTGGTGGCACACTGAATCTGAGTTAGTTCTAAATGTTTCAATGCGATTGTGTGTATATATGCCTTCCTAGAATGGGATGTATACAGCTGGCCTGTGGTCTCTCCCTCCCTAGAGTGAGATGTATACGGTTGGCCTGCAGTCTGTCTTTCTAGTGTGGGATGTATACAGCTGGTCTGTTGTCTCCCTCTGTAGAGTGGGATGTATACAGCCGGCCTGCGGTTTCTTTCTTCCTAGAGTGGGATGTATACAGCCGGCCTGTGGTCTGTCTCTCTAGTGTGGGATGTATACAGTTGGCCTGTGGTGTTTCTCCCTAGAGGGGGATGTATATAGTCAGCCCGTGGTTTCTTTCTTCCTAGTGTGGGATGTATACAGCCGGCCTATGGTCTGTCTCTCTAGTGTGGGATGTATACAGCTGGCCTGTGGCCTCCCTCTCTAGAGTGGGATGTATACAGTTGGTCTGTGGTCTCTTCCTCCCTAGAGTGGAATGTATACAGCCGGCCTGTGGTCTCTCTTTCTAGAGAAGGATGTATACAGCCGGCCTGTGGTCTCCCTCCCAGGAGTGGAATGTATACAGTCGGCCTGCGGTCTCCCTCCCAGGGGTGGGATGTATACAGCCGGCCTGTGGTCTCTCTTTCTAGAGAAGGATGTATACAGCAGCCTGCAGTCTCCCTCCCAGGAGTGGAATGTATACAGCCGGCCTGTGCTCTCCCTCCTAGGAGTGATATGTATACAGCCGGCCTGTGGTCTCCCTCCCTAGAGTGATATGTATACAGTTGGCCTGTGGTCTCCCTCCCAGGAGTGGGATGTATACAGCCGGCCTGTGGTCTCTCTTTCTAGAGAAGGATGTATACAGCCGGCCTGTGGTCTCCCTCCCAGGAGTGGGATGTATACAGTCGGCCTGCGGTCTCCCTCCCAGGAGTGGAATGTATACAGCCGGCCTGTGGTCTCTCTTTCTAGAGAAGGATGTATACAGCCGGCCTGTGGTCTCCCTCCCAGGAGTGGGATGTATACAGCAGCCTGTGGTCTCCCTCCCAGGAGTGGAATGTATACAGCCGGCCTGTGGTCTCTCTTTCTAGAGAAGGATGTATACAGCAGCCTGCAGTCTCCCTCCCAGGAGTGGGATGTATACAGTCAGCCTGTGGTCTCCCTCCCAGGAGTGGGATGTATACAGCCGGCCTGTGGTCTCCCTCCCAGGAGTGGAATGTATACAGCCGGCCTGTGGTCTCTCTTTCTAGAGAAGGATGTATACAGCAGCCTGCAGTCTCCCTCCCAGGAGTGGGATGTATACAGTCGGCCTGTGGTCTCCCTCCCAGGAGTGGGATGTATACAGTCGGCCTGTGGTCTCTCTTTCTAGAGAAGGATGTATACAGCAGCCTGCGGTCTCCCTCCCAGGAGTGATATGTATACAGTTGGCCTGTGGTCTCCCTCCCAGGAGTGGGATGTATACAGCCGGCCTGTGGTCTCCCTCCCTAGAGTGATATGTATACAGTCGGCCTGTGGTCTCCCTCCCTAGAGTGATATGTATACAGTTGGCCTGTGGTCTCCCTCCCAGGAGTGGGATGTATACAGTCGGCCTGTGGCCTTCCTGCCTGGTGTGTATACAGCAGGCCTGTAATGCTCACCTCAACAGGCAGTATTCCTTGGACTCCTGGTCTGCAGACATCCTGGTTCCTCATTCCCTGAAATTCTGCGTGGGACGTTTTTCCGCCTGGGCCTGAGTGACACTGGCTTTGACGTAGCTTCTAGGTGAAGATCAATGAAGGCCTCGGTGGGGCCCAATTTCTTGGTGGAAACTCATCCCGTTTCTGATAAAGGATGGCCCGGGAAGACCTAGAATACGGTGACACCGCGTCCCTCTCCCCCGTGGGTCCCCGAACCTGCAGATGACCACATTTTAGGAACCTTGTATCAGGAGCATGTCTTAATGTTATTACGTCTTTCTCAAAAACAAGATTTTGGATTCCTACGTGACACGGATCCTTCTAGGTCCGCCGGCAGCTATTTGACCAGGCTGTTATTTAAGAGAATGTAGATGATTCCCTAAACCTTCTAGCTCATAAAACGTGGATTGTTAAGATTGACTCCTTCAGGTAAAATTATTGGATTTCATATACCAACTGCTAAAAGGCACTATTCATAGTCTCAAACGGCTTGCGGGAAAAGCTGTTCTAATTTACGTTCCTGCCGGCAGAGCAAGAGGTCGCCCGGGACTTACGCTGTGATGAACATTGAGGTTCATTTTAAAAAGAAAATGAGGAATTCTGCAAATTTCATAGTTTCAAAACGGCATCCATTGTTTTGACTTGGCATTTAAAGACGACTTTTTAGTGGGGGACAATTCTTTTTCATGTTTACAAGCCATGTGTGTTTCTCTTTTGTAAATTACTTGAGATGTTTGCTTATTTTTCCAGTGTTTACCAGTTCTTAGGGCCCTGAACTTCAGAGTCACACAGAACTGGGTTTGAATCCAAACACAACACGACAATTTACTAGCTCCGTTTCTCCGGAGAAGTTAATTTATGCCTTTAATTTTCACTTTCTCCGTCTGTAGCAAATTGCCTAGAGTTTTTATGACATTTAAACCAGATAATATATGTACATTGAGTAGCACAGAATTTTAATGCACAGAAAGCATTCAATAAATAGCAATCATTCTTGTTGATTTGTAAGAGCTCTTTATATATTAAGGACACAGGCTCTTTTATCATTGGCATATTTTATCAATATTTTTCAACTTCTTTTATGCTACTTGAAATTGTTTTTTAAACCTAAAGAGTTTTAAAATTGAATGTAGTCAAATTGATCAGTCTTGTTCATATAATTTCTTCCATTGTTTTTATTCTTGGAAAGTACTTCTGAATGTAGAGATGTAATATTCACCTACATTTTTTTTGTTTTTTTTGGGACAGGGTCTTGCTCTGTCACCCAGGCTGGAGTGCAGTGGCGTGATCTTGGCTCACTGCAACCTCTGCCTCCCGGGTTCAAGCCTTGCCTCAGCCTCCCAAGTAGCTGGAATTACAGGCATGCACCATCATGCCCAGCTAATTTTTGTATTTTTAGTAAAGATGGGGTTTCACCATGTTGGTCAGGCTGGTCTCGAACTGCTGACCTCAGGTGATTTGCCTGCCTCGGCCTCCCAAAGTGCTGGGATTACAGGCATGAGCCACCGCGCCCGGCCCTTCATGTACATTTGAAGCTACATTTCATGACTTAATTTTTATTTATTTATTTTGAGATGGAGTCTGGCTCTGTTGTCCAGGCTGAAGTGCAGTGGTACAATCTCGGCTCACTGCAACCTCTGCCTCCCTGGTTCACGCCATTCTCCTGCCTCAGTCTCCTGAGTAGCTGGGACTACAGGCGCCCACCACCACGTCCAGATAATTTTTTGTATTATTTAGTAGAGACGGGGTTTCACCGCATTAGCCAGGATGGTCTCAATCTCCTGACCTCGTGATCCACCTGTCTCAGCTTCCCAAAGCGCTGGGATTACAGGCATGAGCCACTGTGTGCTGGGATTACAGGCATGAGCCACTGTGTCTGGCCATGTACTTTTAAAACACAGTAATTGGCCAGGCATGGTGGCTCATGCCTGTAATCCCAGCACTTTGGGAGGCCAAGGCAGGAGGATTGCCAGAGGCCAGGCATTCAAGACCAGCCTGGGCAACTTAGGGAGACCCTATCTTTACAAAAAATAAAAATAAAAAAAGTAGCCAGGTGTGGTGTCCCTTGTCTGTGGTCTCAGCTACTCAGGGAGGCAGAGGTTGCAGTGAGCTGTGGTCTCAGCTTGTCTGTGGTCTCAGCTACTCAGGGAGGCTGAAGTGGGAGGATTGCTTGAGCCCAGGAGTTGGAGGCTGCAATGAGCCAAGATTGCACCACCGCCCTCCAGCCTGGGCAGCAGACAGAGACCCTGTAAGAAACACAAAGAGAAAGAGAAGAAAGAGACAGGATGGAAGGAAGGAAGGAAGGAAGGAAGGAAGGAAGGAAGGAAGGAAGGAAAAAGAAGAAAGAAAGAAAGAAAGAAGAAAAGGAAGGAAGGAAAAAGAAAGAGACAGAGGGGAAGAAAGGAATGAAAGAAGAAAAAAGAAAGTAAGAGAAAGAAAAGAAAGAAAGAGGAAGAAAGGAAGGAAGGAAAAAAGAAAGAAAGAGACAGGAAGAAAGGAAGGAAAGAAGGAAAAAAGAAAGACAAGAAAAAGAAACGAAGGGAAAGGAAGAAAGGAAGGAAGGAAGAAAGAAAAGAAAGACAAAGACAGAAAGGAAGAAAGGAAGGAAGGAAGGAAAAAGAAATGAAAGAAAAGAAAGAGAAAAGAGAGACAAAAAGGCTGTAAGAAAGGAAAAGCAATGATGCCTCATACTGGATTAAGTTACCCATGAAATCTAAGCTTGGTTCCTTAAGCCTCGCCTCTTTGAAGAGGAATCCAATTCTGAAATGAATGACACTTTTGGGGGGCCTCATGCCGTGGGGAGCTTAGATTGTCTTTGAAACTGGCCTCTGAGTTGAAATTCCAGGTCCTACCCTTTCCTGCTCAGTCCTCAGACAATTTATAAAACTTGCCTAAACTCACATTTTTATCTGGTAATTTGTGACTTGCAGAATGAACGCAAGAAAACAGAGACGACATTGTAAAGTAGCTGGCCATCGTATTTTTCTTGGAAGAGACAGTATCCTTAAATTAATGCTAATATTTTAAACACTGGCCCACTGATCATGAACACCCAATTCCTGGGTTCCTTGAAATATTTTTGGAAGGGGCGGCCAACCCGTGCCTTCATTCTTGCCCAACACCAGTGGGCTGGATGGGATGTTCGCCGCAGTCTCCACTGCTCCCCGATGTCTCTCTCACATCAGGCCTGCCTTACTGACCTGACCTGCCTCCTCCTGCAAGCATTTGAGTCTGGAATTTTTTTGATGTGCAGAAACAATGCCTGTAAAACACCCAGTACAGGGGTGCTGAAGACATGTTCGTTCAACATGAGCTGAAGCATTCTTAGAGGCAGGTGCTGGTACACCCACATGCACTGGAGACTCTGAGATGAGCATTGCAGACTCTGAGATGTGCACTGGAGATTCTGAATGGGCATTGGAGACTCTGAGATGGACACTGGAGGCTCTGAGCTGTGCTTTGGAGATTCTGAGATGCGCATTGGAGACTCTGAGGTGTGCATTGGAGACTCTGAGATGGACACTGGAGGCTCTGAGCTGTGCTTTGGAGATTCTGAGATGTGCATTGGAGACTCTGAGCTGTGCTTTGGAGATTCTGAGATGTGCATTGGAGACTCTGAGATGGGCACTGGAGACTAAGATGTGCATTGGAGACTCTGAGGTGTGCTTTGGAGACTCTGAGATGTGCTTTGGAGACTCTGAGATGTGCTTTGGAGACTCTGAGGTGTCCATTGGAGACTCTCAGATGTGCATTGGAGACTCTGAGATGGGCATTGGAGATTCTGAGCTGTGCTTTGGAGACTCTGAGATGGGCACTGGAGATTCTGAGATGTGCATTGGAGACTCTGAGATGGGCACTGGAGACTAAGATGTGCATTGGAGACTCTGAGGTGTGCTTTGGAGACTCTGAGATGTGCTTTGGAGACTCTGAGGTGTCCATTGGAGACTCTCAGATGTGCATTGGAGACTCTGAGATGGGCATTGGAGATTCTGAGCTGTGCTTTGGAGACTCTGAGATGGGCACTGGAGACTCTGAGATGTGCATTGGAGACTCTGAGATGGGCACTGGAGACTCTGACGTGTGCTTTGGAGACTCTGAGATGGGCATTGGAGACCCTGAGGTGTGCATTGGAGACTCTGACGTGGGCATTGGAGACTGAGATGGGCATTGGAGACTCTGAGATGTGCTTTGGAGATTCCGATATGTGCATTGGAGACCCTGAGGTGTGCACTGCAGACACTGAGGTGTGCATTGGACACTCTGACGTGGGCACTGGAGACTGAGATGGGTACGGGAGACTCTGAGGTGTGCATTGCAGACTCTGAGGTGTGCTTTAGAGACTGTGAGATGGGCACTGCAGAGGCTGAGGTGTGCTTTGGACACTCTGGTGTTCCAGTATGATGTGATTGCTTTTCAGAGCGGCAGACAGGATGTCCAGCTGGAGCCGGCCAGCAGCAGGACGCTGACTGCGTGAGTGATGCAGCCGCGATTGGTGTTGACGGCCGGCGCGGAACACTCCATCTACATGCAGGTGCTAAGTGAGCCCTGGGGAGAAGGTGACCTGAATACTTGCCAACTGTTCTTTAGAAATTTCTTTAAATGGAAAATATGATTTAGGCAATGTTAAAAAAAAAAAACAAAACCAGACAGAGTCCCAGGATATTAGCACATGGCTCAGAAGACCGGACGCAGAAGGAGGAAAAGTCATGCTCTTTGCCAAGCCCAGTGCTAACTAGACCTTAAACCTGGGCGAATGCACCCATAACGTGGGTGTCTCCACGCCTTCCGTGCAAACTGTGTGTATTTGACAGATGAATGGTTTGTCTCTGGGATGATACTTTTCTGACAGTGCAGCCTGCAGATAACATCTAACGAGGGGAGAAGGATTATGTGAGCAGTGGTGGCTGAGGTCTCTCTCTCTCTCTCTCTCTTTTTTTTTTTTTTTTTGAGATGGAGTTTCACTCTTGTTGTCCAAGCTGGAGTTCACTGGCGTGATCTCGGCTCACAGCAACCTCTGCCTCCCGGGTTCAAGCGATTCTCTTGCCTCAGCCTCCCAAGTAGCTGGGATTACAAGCATGTGCCACCATGCCCAACTAATTTTGTATTTTGTATTTTTCTTTCTTTCTTTCTTTTTTTTTTGAGATGGAGTCTCGCTCTGTCGCCCAGGCTGGAGTGCAGTGGCGCGATCTCGGCTAACTGCAACCTCTGCCTCCCGGGTTCACACCATTCTCCTGCCTCAGCCTCCCGAGTCGCTGGGACTACAGGTACCCGCCACTGCACCCGGCTAATTTTTTGTATTTTTAGAAGAGACGGGGTTTCACCGTGTTAGCCAGGATGGTCTCGATCTCCTGACCTCGTGATCCGCCCGCCTCGGCCTCTCAGAGTGCTGGGACTACAGGCGTGAGCCACCGTGCCCGACTTTTTTTTTTTTTTTTTTTTTTTTTTAGTAAAGACAGGGTTTCTCCATATTGGCCAGGCTGGTCTTGAACTCTTGACCTCAGGTGATGCACCTGCCTTGGCCTCCCAAAGTGCTGGGATTACAAGCGTGAGTCACTGCGCCCGGCCCGAGGTGTCTTATGAGTGGGCAGTGGACTGTGGCTCAGCTCTGGCCCACCTGAAGGTGAAGAGAGGTGGCTTTCTGGCCCTGGGATTAGTCCTGCCTTGTACAAATCTCCACCTCCGAAGGAAGGAAGAACAAGGGATTTATAGAGATGCCTTTGGGAGCTTCAGAAGAAAGAGGGTGTAATCTTGCTGGTTGATATAATTTTGGATGAAGGCACTGTCCTCCAAGCTCACAAACACACAGGACCAGAGAGAAGGACGGAGGAGATGGGGTTTCAGCGAGGGAGGTGGGAGAACAGGCCTGGCCTGTTGGGGGTAGAACGTAGAAGAAAAGGGCAATCTGAGAGATGAACAGGGGACGGTATTAAGTGCGTGCCCCCACACACATGCGCACATGTCCGGAAGGCAAGCACACACCCACCGTCATGAGCCCTCACGTGCAGGTGCATGCACGCATTCTTGCAAACCCCACACATGCACACAAGCCCATATGCATATATGTGTACAGAAGGCAAGCACACATTCACAGTCATGAGCCCTCACGTGCAGGTGCATGCACGCATTCTTGCAAGCCCCACACATGCACACAAGTGCATATGCATATACATGTACAGAAGGCAAGCACACACAGCCATGAGCCCTCACGTGCAGGTGCATGCATGCATTCTTGCAAACCCCACACATGCACACAAGCCCATATGCATATATGTGTACAGAAGTCAAGCACACACTGATAGTCATGAGCGCTCACATACAACTGCATGCATGCATTCATTCAAGCTCCCACATGCACAGATGCACACAGGTATCTCTGCACAGAGGTGTACAGAAGGCAAGCACACATTCAGTCATGAGCCCTCACGTGCAGGTGCATGCACGCATTCTTGCAAACCCCACACATGCACACAAGCCCATATGCATATATGTGTACAGAAGGCAAGCACACACCCACAGCCATGAGCCCTCACGTGCAGGTGCATGCATGCATTCATTCAAGCCTCCACATGCACACAAGCCCATATGCATATATGTGTACAGAAGGCAAGCACACATTCACAGTCATGAGCCCTCACGTGCAGGTGCATGCACGCATTCTTGCAAGCCCCACACATGCACACAAGCCCATATGCATATATGTGTACAGAAGGCAAGCACACACTGATAGTCATGAGCGCTCACATACAACTGCATGCATGCATTCATTCAAGCCCCCACATGCACAGATGCACACAGGTATCTCTGCACAGAGGTGTACAGAAGGCAAGCACACATTCACAGTCATGAGCCCTCACGTGCAGGTGCATGCACGCATTCTTGCAAACCCCACACATGCACACAAGCTCATATGCATATACGTGTACAGAAGGCAAGCACACACCCACAGCCATGAGCCCTCACGTGCAGGTGCATGCATGCATTCTTGCAAACCTCACACATGCACCCAAGCCCATATGCATATATGTGTACAGAAGGCAAGCACACATTCACAGTCATGAGCCCTCATGTGCAGGTGCATGCACGCATTCTTGCAAGCCTCACACATGCACACAAGCACATATGCATATACGTGTACAGAAGGCAAGCACACATTCACAGTCATGAGCCCTCACATGCAGGCGCATGCACGCATTCTTGCAAGCCCCACACATGCACACAAGCACATATGCATATACATGTACAGAAGGCAAGCACACACAGCCATGAGCCCTCACGTGCAGGTGCATGCATGCATTCTTGCAAACCCCACACATGCACACAAGCCCATATGCATATATTTGTACAGAAGTCAAGCACACACTGATAGTCATGAGCGCTCACATACAACTGCATGCATGCATTCATTCAAGCTCCCACATGCACAGATGCACACAAGTATCTCTGCACAGAGGTGTACAGAAGGCAAGCACACATTCAGTCATGAGCCCTCACGTGCAGGTGCATGCACGCATTCTTGCAAACCCCACACATGCACACAAGCCCATATGCATATATGTGTACAGAAGGCAAGCACACATTCACAGTCATGAGCCCTCACGTGCAGGTGCATGCACGCATTCTTGCAAGCCTCACACATGCACACAAGCCCATATGCATATACGTGTACAGAAGGCAAGCACACACAGCCATGAGCCCTCACATGCAAATGCACATGCACATACACGCACAATGCAAAGCACACACTCCTAGTTTTGTGCATTCACTGTGTATGTGTGTCTGCATGTGCTCATGCGCCCTGATCCATGTGTGACTGTGTATGTGTGTGTCTGTGTGTTGTGCGCACTGATCTGTGTTACTGTTTATGTGTGTGAGTCTGCAGACACACACATACACAGTCGCACAGGGATCAGTGCGCATGAGTACACAGACACACACATACACAGTCACACACATGTGCACACACCCACAGGTAGAAACGTGCACCCACACACATCTATTTTCATGGCAACAGTCACACACAGATCAGTGCATGTGAGTATAGATACAGACTCACACACATACACAGACACACACGGATCAGTGCGCATGAGCACACACAGACTCACACACATTAACAGTCGCACACAGATCACCTGAGGCCAGGAGTTGGAGACCAGTCTGGCCAACACGGCAAAACCTGCCTCTACAAAAAATACAAAAGTTAGCCAGGTGCGTTGGCGTGCACCTGTCATCCCAGCTACTCAGGAGGCTGAAACAGGAGAAACGCTTGAACCCAGGAGGTGGAGGTTGCAGTGAGCTGAGATCACACCACTGCACTCAAGCCTGGGCGACAAAGCGAGACTCCGTCTCAAAGAAAAAAAAAAAGAAAGAAAAAGAAAAAAGGGACGCGCTGGGCAAGGGGAAGTTGTTAGAAGCCCTGAGTCCCACACATGAGGGTCCTGACAACTTTTCTTCGTGATTCCGTATTTTAAAAGTAAATCTCCTTTCTGGGAACTTTTAATACCATTTTGGTTACGCGTCTAATCCACCTGCTCCTTAACCAGAAATGGTAATCACGTGGAAATCACTGCCAAACTATGATGTCCAATTAAAATTCAGGTTATTTTGTGGGAGGCAAACGCACCCCCCAGCCTCTCTCTTTTTAAACCGTCATCTTACAAATCCTCTGATAGAAAGTTCGGGCTGTTTTGAGGGAGAGCTTGTCATCAAGAGCCATCTGGCTTCCTCAGTCATGACAGATTAAAATAGGATACAGTATGAAAGCTTTGCCACCCCTCCAGGGGCGAAAGAAGTCACTGGGGGAAAGAGGTAATTAAAAGATCCCCTTGCAGAGACGGGCTCTGAGAGGGACCCTGGCACTCACCAACGGCAAAAAACTCATTTTCCAGAAGAGAGCAGGCCCCGGCCGGCCGGACATCGATGGCCTCGGAGCCACTCTGTCTCCTTTGGGGACGAAGGTGGGCTGGCTCTCGTAACCCCTTAGCTTTGTCTGGCCAGCACCCTTGGCTTTGTCTGGCCAGCACCCTTCTCTCCGTCTGGCCAGCACCCTTCTCTCCTCCTGTCCATGGCCATCAAGCGGCCAGGACTTGATAGCCGTGGAAATTGCACCTGATGAAATGGACGTAATGAGTGTCATGAAGAAACAGGATTGTTTCTCCCCAAAACAGGAGGTCGCAAGGATGTCTCGATTTTCAAAGCCTGCAAGGAAAAAAGGTGACATTCCCCGTCGTGGGACATCCCCTCGCAAGGAGCCGACTCATGATTCCCACCTAGATAGTAAATACCACTCACGCCTGTCATCCCAGAGCTTTGGGAGGCGGAGGCGGGCGGATCATGAGGTCAGGAGATCGAGACCATCCTGGCTAATACGGTGAAACCCCGTCTCTACTAAAAATACAAAAATTAGCTGGGTGTGGTGGTGGGTGCCTGTAATCCCAGCTACTCGGGAGGCCGAGGCAGGAGAATCGCTTGAACCTGGGAGGTGGACAATGCAGTGAGCCGAGATCTCACCACTGCACTCCAGCCTGGGTGACAGGGCGAGACTCCATCTCAAACAAACAAACCACTCTGGGGTCTGCGTGTGCTGCCTGCGTAGGAAACACTTCCCCATTGTGAATGGGCACCTGTCACACCGTCCCGGTTACCGCTCCGTAACTGACACGAACGATGCCGGAGAGCTGGGAGCTGGGAGCTGGGTGCCCAGCCTTGGAGGCGTGCTCCAAACCACACCTCCCTTTTGAGCTTGGCTGGTATGTAAACGATTGGAAGGATAGTTAATCAAGCAATTCCTCCATCTCACCTAAGTGAACCCAGAGATATTTATTTTCTCTCTCTATAAAGGTGTTCACTCCCCAACTGTTTTTTTTTCTTAAAATGCAGATGGGATCTTGCTACGTGGCACAGGCTGGTCTCAAACTCCTGGGCTTAAGAGATCATCTCACCTTGGCCTCCCAAGTAGCTGGAACTGCAGGGGCACGCCACCACACCTGGCTAATATGTATATATTTTATATATTACATACATATTATATATGACACATATTATATATACTACAGATATATATGTTATATTACATACATAATATACCATATACATTATATTGCATATATAATATACATTATACTACACATAATATGTAATATATTACATATATAAAATATAAAATATATAATGTACACATACATAACTTACATATCACATATATAACACATATATAATATGCAATATAATATACATGTAATATCTAATATATGTAATATATGCAATATTTATATACATGTAATATATGCAATATATATTTTCATATTATATTTTTATATATAAACCTATATTTATAATATATATAAACCTATATTTATATATAATATATAAACCTATATTTATATTAATATATAAACATATTTATATATATTTTTATATTATATATAAACCTACAAATATATATTTATATATATATATATTTTTTTCAGATGGAGACTCCCTCTGTCACCCAGGCTGGAGTGCAATGGCGTGGTCTTGGTTCACTGCAACCTCCACCTCCCAGGTTAGAGATTTTATATATAAAAAATATATAGCTGGAACTGCAGGTTCGAGTGATTCTCTTGCCTCAGCCTCCCCAGTAGCTGGGATTACAGGCGCCCGCCACCACGCCCAACTCATTTTTGTATTTTTAGTAGAGATGGGGTTTCACCATGTTGGCCAGGCTGGTCTCGAACTCCTGACCTCAGGGGATCCACCCGCCTCAGCCTCCCAAAGTGCTGGGATTACAGGCGTGAGCCACCGTGCCCAGCCCAAAGTGATTTTTTTTTTAACTGTCTCTGCCAGCAGACAACCGTTTTAGAGAAATTCGGTGTTTTTTTGTTTTTTTGTTTTTTTTGATGGAGTTTCGCTCTTGTTGCCCAGGCTGGAGTGCAGTGGTGAGATCTCGGTTCACTGCAACCTCCGCCTCCCGGGTTCAGGCGATTCTCCTGCCTCAGCCTCCCGAGTAGCTGGAATTACAGGCGCCCGCCACCACGCCTGGCTCATTTTTGTATTTTTAGTAGAGACGGGGTTTCACCATGTTGGCCAGGATGGTCTGGAGCTCCTGGCCTCAGGGGATCCACCCGCCTCGGCCTCCCAAAGTGCTGGGATGACAGGCATGAGCCACCATGCGCAGCCCAAAGTGACTTTTTTTAACCGTCTCTGCCAGCAGACAACCGTTTTAGAGAAATTCAGTTTTTTTAAATTTTTTTTGAGCGCGTTACATTCCTGAGCTGCTGTCTGGGGCTGTCAAAGCCACGTTGCTCACCTGACCAGGTAAGTCTTGGCTTGGACTGTTTCCCAGGACAAATAACAGGTGTTTTCTCCCATTCCCTGCCCTGAGACATGGGAGTGTCTTTGCTGGAATTATAGCAACTGTGAGCCTCTTCCTGGCCGTCCTGTCGCCTTGGAGTCTTAAGGGAAGGCGCACACGTTATCACAAAGCATATGCATTTGCCCCTGGGCCCCAGAGGTGCTGGATTATGGGGGTACAGGGAAAAGTCTGTCCACACCCCAGTCTTCTGGGATCCATAGGCCAGGGAGAAATCCTCCTTCTGTCTCCGAGAGTCTGACAGAGACAGCATGTCATTATCTTAACAGCTGTAAATCCCAATTATTTCTGAGGCAGAAAATGCACTCTAAAATATGCATGCTTATTTAAAAAAAGAGAAAGAAAAAAAAAACCCTCAAAGATTGCAGTCGTGTTGCTATAATTTAGAGCCCTAAACCTCAGAACCTCCGGATGAGTCTTCGGCTTGATATTGTGAGACCGGCTCTTTCAATCTTGGAGGGATATCTCAGCAAATGCTCCTCTTCCCGTTCTCTGCAAGTGGGGGGAAACCGCCGCTGACCCACGGGGTGACACGCAGCTGAATCATTCCAAAGGGAACCGGGGGCCGGATTGATCTGCGTTGGTCGCTAACGAAGGCTCGTAGGCAAAGCTCAGCGAAGTGGGCTCGGCGGACACAGGGTGGGCTCGGGGCCCCGGGGCCGGGCCTGCTGGTGGAGGCTGGGGATGTCTTTTTGATTTTGTCGTTAGGAAGCCGTACCGTAGTCTCTCCGAGGCGTTGGGTGAAATTCACAGATTTCATCTTCCGTGAACTGTGGCTCACTTTTTGATATATATATATATATTTTTTCCCCCGATTGCTTGATGTCACCCTGTGCTTTTTCCATAAGACAAATGCAAATGAGCCAGGCATTCTAACGAGGCGAGCCCTCGGAGGTGACCTCTTTCTGGGGAAGCTCCGGTCTGCAAAACCACGATGAGAGAGGAAAACGTTTTTTTTTTTTTTTGCAGAGAAAACTCAGGCCTGCTGTTTAATCAGGGCCTTTGCTGCGGCCGCTGCTCCTGCAGACACAGAGGCGTTAATGAGGCAAGACTAGTCCCCATGTCCCCACGTTGGAGGCCTGGGATGAGGATCCCTTCTCTGTCCCCCATGTCTGCATCCCAGGACGCAGGTGGATCCGAGTCTGCTGCATAGACGGCCATTAGGTCCCAGGATGGAGCTGGATTCGAGCCTGCTGTGTAGACGGCCATTAGGTCCCAGTCCCAGGATGGAGCCGGATTCAAGCCTGCTATGTAGATGGCTATTAGGTCCCAGGATGCAGGTGGATCTGAGTCTGCTGCATAGAAGGCCATTAGGTCCCAGGATGGAGCTGGATTCGAGCCTGCTGTGTAGACAGCCATTAGGTCCCGGGATGCAGCTACATCTGAGCCTGCTGCATAGATGGCCATTAGGTCCTGGGATGGAGCTGCATTGGACCCTGCTGTGTAGACAGCCATTAGGTCCCAGGATGCAGCTACATCTGAGCCTGCTGCATAGATGGCCATTAGGTCCTGGGACGGAGCTGCATTGGACCCTGCTGTGTAGAGAGCCATTAGGTCCTGGGATGTAGCTGCATCCGAGTCTGCTGTGTAGACGGCCATTAGGTCCCAGTCCCAGGATGGAGCTGGAGTTGAGCCTGCTATGTAGATGGCTATTAGGTCCCAGGACGCAGGTGGATCCGAGTCTGCTGCATAGATGGCCATTAGGTCCCAGGATGGAGCTGGATTCGAGCCTGCTGTGTAGACGGCCATTAGGTCCCAGTCCCAGGATGGAGCTGGAGTGGAGCCTGCTATGTAGATGGCTATTAGGTCCCAGGACGCAGGTGGATCCGAGTCTGCTGCATAGATGGCCATTAGGTCCCAGGATGGAGCTGGATTCGAGCCTGCTATGTAGATGGCTATTAGGTCTCGGGATGCAGCTACATCTGAGCCTGCTGCATAGACGGCCATTAGGTCCTGGGACAGAGCTGCATTGGACCCTGCTGTGTAGACAGCCATTAGGTCCCAGGATGTAGCTGCATCCGAGTCTGCTGCATAGATGGCCATTAGGTCCCAGTCCCAGGATGGAGCTGGATTCGAGCCTGCTGTGTAGACGGCCATTAGGTCCCAGTCCCAGGATGGAGCTGGAGTCGAGCCTGCTGTGTAGACGGCCATTAGGTCCCAGTCCCAGGATGGAGCTGGATTCGAGCCTGCTATGTAGATGGCTATTAGGTCCCGGGATGCAGCTACATCTGAGCCTGCTGCATAGACGGCCATTAAGTCCTGGGACGGAGCTGCATTGGACCCTGCTGTGTAGACAGCTATTAGGTCCCGGGATGCAGCTACATCTGAGCCTGCTGCATGGACGGCCATTAGGTCCTGGGATGGAGCTGCATTGGACCCTGCTGTGTAGACAGCCATTAGGTCCCGGGATGCAGCTGCATCTGAGTCTGCTGCATAGATGGCCATTAGATCCTGGGACGGAGCTGCATTGGACCCTGCTGTGTAGACAGCCATTAGGTCCCAGGATGTGGCTGCATCTGAGCCTGCTGTGTAGACGGCCAAAATAAATAACAAAACTGTGTTGGCAGGCGGTGACCGACAGACGAACCACTGGGCTCTCATCCCGGCCGGCCCTTTGAGTTGTTTAAGTTCCTCTTGTACTTGAATTGTTTCCCCAGAACGAGGTGGATCAAAGTGTCATACAGTAACAGCCCAGACAGACGATAGGTATGGCAGAAAAGAAAAAAACTAAAAAAAAAAAAAAAAAAAAAAATCGCATGGGAAGTTTCCCCGCCTCCTCTTTGGCCATTCTGTGCCCGGAGATCAAAGTTCTCATTTCAGCTCTAATTAAGAAAAACTAACACAGAGCCAAGGCCTTCTGGCTCCGAAGAGGGCCTTTGGTGGATCACTGCTGAAATCTTCCCGAGATTTAAATAATTAATATGACACCTTGAGCTCTGCACGGAGAAATTAAAAAAAAAAAAAACAAAAAAGGGAAAGGGAAAGGGGAGGAAGGGGGCCCCGTGTCGGAGCGGGGAACAATGGGATTGAGGATATGGCAGAGCATTTGTACCCCTGGATGCGTGCAGCCCTCCTTTGTCATGCTAAAGGGGAACCTTTATTTTCTGTGGTCACCCCGGGTGCTCAGAGCCTCTAGGAGGATCCTTTCGGAAAGCAAGTCTGCTGTGGGGAGTTGGAGGACGCTCATTTAATGCTTTTTAATCCTGTTAATCCCAGGCAGAATGGCCATCCCCAGCGCAAATCCGGTCCCCAAAGCCCTCCCCGGCTTGCCAGAGCCAGGCTCCCTCCCAGACGCTCCCGGGAAGCATCTCTTCTGCGAGCCGGCCTGTCTCTGTGCTGGGTTCCCGGAGCCATCTGAGCCAGCACAGGCGACGAGAAATTAAAATCAGGCCTGGCATTGTGCTACGTCTCTGTGCTGGGTTCCCGGAGCCATCGTGAGCCAGCAGAGGCGACAAGCAATTAAAATCAGCTGCAAATCCTACGGCCGGAGCGTCCGGGGAGTGCAGGACGGGACCAGCCAGGCCTCGAACCCCCGTCCCTCTGGATGGGGTCGAGTCTGAAGATTCCTCCTCCTGCCCAGGACTGTTCAGATCCTCGGTGGAGTGTGGACACGGATTAGTCGTCCACTGCTGCAGACGAGATCAGAGCCAAGCCTCGGTATTCAGTTCGTTACAACTTCATAAAGCCAGGTCGCTCCCCCTCTGCCTCTGTACGCAGGAAGAAAATCGATCGGTCTAATTTCATAGCTCAGCATAAAACTCGACGGAACCTTTGCAAAGGCAATGATAAAAAAGATCCCGGAAAAAGCCGACAGTCTCCACGGCATGACGGCGCGGCCGCAGCTGAATAAACTCGGGGTGGGCGGCCAACCCTGCTGCATAGACGGCCATCAGGTCCCAGGATGGAGCTGGATTCGAGCCTGCTGTGTAGACACCCATTAGGTCCTGGGACGGAGCTGGATTCGAGTCTGCTGCATAGACGGCCATTAGGTCCCGGGACGGAGCTGGATTCGAGCCTGCTGTGTAGACAGCCATTAGGTCCTGGGATGGAGTTGGATTCGAGCCTGCTGTGTAGACAGCCATTAGGTCCTGGGACAGAGCTGGATTCGAGTCTGCTGCATAGACGGCCATTATGTCCCGGGATGGAGCTGGATTCGAGCCTGCTGTGTAGACAGCCATTAGGTCCCGGGACAGAGCTGGATTCGAGTCTGCTGCATAGATGGCCATTAGGTCCCGGGATGGAGCTGGATTCGAGCCTGCTGTGTAGACAGCCATTAGGTCCTGGGATGGAGTTGGATTCGAGCCTGCTGTGTAGACAGCCATTAGGTCCCGGGACGGAGCTGGATTTGAGTCTGCTGCATAGATGGCCATGAGGTCCCAGGACGGAGCTGGATTCGAGCCTGCTGTGTAGACATCCATTAGGTCCTGAGACGGAGCTGGATTCAAGTCTGCTGCATAGACGGCCATTAGGTCCCGGGACGCAGGTGGATCCAAGTCTGCTGCATAGATGGCCATTAGGTCCCAGGATGGAGCTGGATTTGAGTCTGCTGCGTAGATGACCATTAGGTCCTAGTCCCAGGATAGAGCTGCATAGGAGCCTGCTGTGTAGACAGCCATTAGGTCCCAGTCCCAGGATGGAGCTGGAGTCGAGCCTGCTGTGTAGACAGCCATTAGGTCCCAGTCCCAGGATGGAGCTGGAGTCAAGCCTGCTGTGTAGACGGCCATTAGGTCCCAGGATGCAGGTACATCCTAGTCTGCTGCATAGACGGCCATTAGGTCCCAGTCCCAGGATGGAGCTGCATAGGAGCCTGCTGTGTAGACAGCCATTAGGTCCCAGTCCCAACACACACAAACCACAGTAAACACATACACTATGCACAACACAGATGCCACACCACACACACACAACACATAAAATACACACTACACACAAAACACCTACTGCACACAACACACAGAATACACACTACACACAGCACACACAAACCACACTAAACACATATGCTATGCACAACAAAGATGCCACACAACACACACACATAGAACACACAAAATATACACAACACACACAAACCACACTAAACACATATGCACAACACAGATGCCACAGAACACACACACATAAAACACGCAAATACATACTATACACAACACAGCACAAACCACACACTGCACACACAAATGCACACTACACACAAACCACACAAACCACACTAAACACACACACTCTGCACAGTACAAACACCACACTAAATACACATATACACAAAATACATATGACACACAAAATACATAGAAAAACACAGACTGGCCTCACAAACCACACACACTATGCACAACACAGATGCCACACCACACACACACATATAACACACAAAATACACACTACACACAGCACACACAAACCACACTAAACACATATGCACAACACAGATGCCACACAACACGCACACACCCAACACACAAAATACACACTACACACAACACACACAAACCACAGTAAACACACACTATGCACAATACAGATACCAGACAACAGACACTTACAACACACAAAATACACACTACACACAACACACACAAACCACAGTAAACACATACACTGTGCACAACAGATGCCACACAACACACACACATACAACACACAAAATACACACAAACCACACTAAACACATATTCTGTGCGCAAAACAGATGCCACATAAAACACACACATGCAACACACAAAATACCTACTACATATACACAACACTAAACACAGACGTTATGCACAACACAGATGCCACACAATACACACACAAAACACACAAATACATACTACACACAACACAAACCACACTAAACACACACTGCACCCACAAAATACACATTGCACACAACACATGCAAACCACACTAAACACACACTATGCACAATACAGATACCAGACACCACACACTTACAACACAGAAAATACACACTACACACAACACACACAAACCACACTAAACACATACACTCTGCACAGGACAGACGTCACACTGAATACACACACATAACACATAATCTACAATTACACGCAACAGACGCAGACGTCGCTAAACACACACACTCTGCACAGGACAGACACCACACTAAACACACACACACACAAATGTGGTAGGTCACCCCCACATCATGAGCCCCAAGAGCCAGTTGATTTCTGCCTCAACAACGGTTGATTTGAAGGAACTTACGATGAATTAAGATGTGGACATCTGGCCGGGCGCGGTGGCTCACGCCTGTAATCCCAGCACTTTGGGAGGCCGAGGCGCGTGGTGGTCAGGAGGGTTGGATCCTCATGAATGGGATTCATCCCTTATAAAAGAGACTTCAGGCCGGACGAAGGGGCGCCCACCACGAAGCCCGGCTAATTTTTTGTATTTTTGGTACAGACGGGGTTTCACCGTGTTGGCCAGGATGGTCTCGATCTCTTGACCTCGTGATCCGCCCTCCTTGGCCTCCCAAAGCGCTGGGATTACAGGCGTGAGCTACCACACCCAGCTTCTCAATTTTTTAAAACTGAGATTAAGTTTGCATGGCACGCAAGCAATCCTTTCAAAAGTGAACAGTTCAGGGACGTGTGTGTGCATTTACAATGTTGCTGTACATTTACAATGAGAGGGATTGGGGGTGTGTCTGTTTCATAGGGTTCCTTCTGGGGGAGCAAAATATTCTAGGAATAGAATTTTCCAGAAGGAAACCTATCAAACAGTCACAGCCCCAATCCCTCTCTCTCAGCCCCTGGCAGTCACAAAGCTCCTTTCTGTCTCAACGAATTTGTCTGTTCTGCGTTTATTTTTTAATAGACTTGCTTATACATAGAAAAGAATTTCAAAGTTTGGCCACTGCTGTGCTTGCTGCTGGTGGCTATGGGGTCTTGATACTTCTTAGGATATCCCCCTAGGATAACATCAGGGTTCCTGAGGACATCTGACTTCTGTTCTTTTTTTTTTTTTTTTGAGATGGAGTCTCGCTCTTGTCACCCAGGCTGGAGTGCAGTGGCTCGATCTCAGCTCATTGCAACCTCCGCCTCCTGGGTTCAAGCGATTCTCCTGCCTCAGCCTCCCGAGTAGCTGGGATGACAGGTGCCCTCCGCCACGCCCGGCTAATTTTTGTATTTTTAGTTGAGATAGGGTTTCACCATGTTGGCCAGGATGGTCTCGATCTCCTGACCTCAGGTGATCCACCTGCCTTGGCCTCCCAAAGTGCTGTAATTACAGGCATGAAACACCGTGCCCGGCCGAATTCTGTTCTTTTTGTTGACATGGAGTTGCGCCCTCGTCACCCAGGCTGGAGTGCAGTGCTGTGGTCTCGGCTCACTGCAACCTCCGCCTCCTGGGTTCACACCATTCTCCTGCCTCAGTCTCCCGAGTACCTGGGACTACAGGTGCCCACCACCACGCCCGGCTAATTTTTGTATTTTTACTAGAGATGGGGTTTCTCCATGTTGGCCAGGCTGGTCTCGAACTCCTGACCTCAGGTGATTCACCTGCCTCAGCCTCCCCAAAGTGCTGGGATGACAGGCGTGAGCCACCACTCCCAGACTGATTTATTTTCTTTAAACAAAGCCCAGGGGCCACCGTGAGATTATGTCACCTCTCTGTGGTGTTTTTCCCCTTTTTATCCAATATATTGCATTCTGAGACACATTTCTAATGTACAGAAAGAGATGTTCATGCTTCTTGCACTTTTTTTTCAGAAGTTAACGCTAAATCTATGTGTCTTGGCCTCTTAAAAACAAAACAAAACCAAAAAAAACAAACCTACACTTCCATAGTTGAAAAACTGGACTGGTTTTGGGTGCTACCACACACGTCTCACAACAAACACAGTTGAGAATCAAGCGACTGTTTCAATAGCTCATAAATGGTGGTGAGAAAAGCCTGTTTGTAACCACTTCAGCATTTGAAATTAAACTCATCATTTAAGGATTTCTAAAGGTAATCATTTGGTCAACAACAGCAAAAAGTATTCCCTTTCTTGCCTGCCTCCCTCCTTCCTGTCCTTCCCTCCTTCCCTTCTTCCTTCCTTCCTTCCTGTCCTTCCTTCCTTCCCTCCTTCCTTCCTTCATTTCTTTCTTTTCTTCTTTCTCTCTTTCTTTCTTTTTCTTTCCCACAGGGAAAGGGGCGCCGTGAATGTAGCCCATATAGACCTAGAAGAGAGATGATCAGCTATCATCTCTCTCTCTTTCTCTATCTATTAATCTATCTATATATCTTACCTATCGATGTATCTATTATATCTATGTATCTATATCTATTTATGTATTCTATGTATCTATTTTATCTATTTATCTATATCTATTGTATGTATCTATTATATCTATGTATCTATATCTATTTATGTATTCTATGTATCTATTTTATCTATGTATCTATATCTATTTATTCTATGTATCTATTATATCTGTGTATCTATATCTATTTATGTATTCTATGTATCTATTTATCTATATCTATTCTATGTATCTATTATATCTATGTATCCATATCTATTTATGTATTCTATGTATCTATTTTATCTATTTATCTATATCTATTGTATGTATCTATTATATCTATGTATCTATATCTATTTATGTATTCTATGTATCTATTTTATCTATTTATCTATATCTATTGTATGTATCTATTATATCTATGTATCTATATCTATTTATGTATTCTATGTATCTATTTTATCTATGTATCTATATTTATTCTATGTATCTATTATATCTGTGTATCTATATCTATTTATGTATTCTATGTATCTATTTATCTATATCTATTCTATGTATCTATTATATCTATGTATCCATATCTATTTATGTATTCTATGTATCTATTTTATCTATTTATCTATATCTATTGTATGTATCTATTATATCTATGTATCTATATCTATTTATGTATTCTATGTATCTATTTTATCTATGTATCTATATCTATTGTATGTATCTATTATATCTATGTATCTATATCTATTTATGTATTCTATGTATCTATTTTATGTATGTATCTATATCTATTTATTCTATGTATCTATTATATCTATGTATATCTATTTATGTATTCTATGTATCTATTTATCTATATCTATTCTATGTATCTATTATATCTATGTATCCATATCTATTTATGTATTCTATGTATCTATTTTATCTATTTATCTATATCTATTTATTCTTTGTATCTATTATATCTATGTATCTATATTCTATGTATCTATTATATTTATCTATGTATCTATGTATGTATGTATCATCTATCTTATCATGTATTTATTATATCTATTATCTATCTTATCTATCATCTATCTATTGCATCTATTATCTATCTATTATATCTATTTATATCTATCATCTATGTATCTATTATATCTATCATCTATCTTATCTATCATCTATTATATCTATCATCTCTCATCTATGTATCTATGTATTATATCTATCTATCATCTATCTATCCATCTATCTATGTATGTATGTATCTGTCTATTATCTATCTATCCATCTATCTATCATCCAACTGGATTATCAATATCCGTGCTCCCACACATATTTCACTCTCTCTCTCTCTCAACCTTGCCAAAAGCAGGCAGAACGCAGCAGGAAGTGACTCCCTCCCGATCCTTTGCCCCAAGGGGCAGACACCCACCCGTAGGAAGCTGCATTCCTGGGGTCTGTGGTCATGTCACCGTTAGCAATGTGGTACCTGGGCTGGACAAGAGAGTCAATTTACGGCTCTTTTGTGCTGAATATCAGAAAAGCCGATCATTCAATTATCTCAGCGTTACCTTTCACTGGCATTATTTCATTCCTTGAAATGGCTTTTCATTCCAATTATAGGTTTTCATGGAGAAATTGTTGGATAATGTAATAATATTTGCCTCTTGCCGTCCTCTGAGGGCGATGATGAATGTTTAATAAGACACCAAAGTTGCAAAACCATTATGCACTTCTCAAAAGAGAGATGCCATATAAATGAATAATAAGAATAAATTATGCAACTGTATTGGGTAGAAAAAAAAATCAATTACTCTTCTTCTAGTGGCCAGTGATCTACTTTATATGCTGGATTTTAGAGTTAATTAATTAAGTTACGTCCTGTATTAAAAAAACAAACGTGTCAGCTTTTTTACAGTTTTTTGCTTTTCCTGCCCTAATAGCGTGATGGTTCTATGGGGTGAGGTCCCCTACATCCTGATTGAAATGAACGATTTCCCGGTGAAGCTCCGAGTTTCCACTGGAGGGAAAATGGTGACTGTCTCAAGAATTAGCCTGGGAGACCCTGAAGAGCTTCAGAATATGCCACCAAAAAAAAAAAAATACATATATATATATTGCAGGGGCCAGGTGGGGTGGCTCATGGCTATAATCCCAGCACTTTGGGAGGCCGAGGCAGGTGGATCAGGAGGTCAGGAGTTCAAGACCAGCCTGGCCAAGATGGTGAAACCCTGTCTCTACTAAAAATACCAAAAAATTAACCAGGCGTGGTGGCAGGCATCTGTAATCCCAGCTACTCGGGAGGCTGAGGGAGAGGATTGTTTGAACCTGGGAGGTGGAGGTTGCAGTGAGCCGAGATCACGCCATTGCACTCCAGCCTGGGTGACAGAGCGAGACTCTGTCTCAAAAAAAGAAAAAAAAAAAAGCAACAGCTACGGAGGCTAAAAGGTCCCCTCCTTCTGTGTTTAACTGGGAATGTCGGCAACCTTTACACATGATTTGTTTTCTCTGAGGTTGATTAGGAAATGGAAGCCACCTCATCCATGGAACTTACTCCAAAACTCTAATACTCAACATAGGAAGAGCTTGGAGCCGATGGTCTGTTGGGAACTAGGTCATTACTCCCCTTGTTTTCTCTAACCTTATCCAATTTTCCCGGTTATTCCAAGCTCAGAGAAGGAGGGACCTTCGGAAATGATGCTACAACTGAGTGACTTCCCTCTAGTCATAGAAAACTGTTGTTTTTGTTTTTTGGGTTTTTTTGCAAGACACGGTCTCACTCCGCTGCCCACGCTGGAGCACAGTGGTGCAATCATGGCTCGTTGGAACTTCGAACTCCTGGGCTCAAGTGATCCTCCCACCTCAGCCTCCAGAGTAGCTGGGACCACAGGTGTGCACCACCATGCCTGGCAATTTTTTTGTTTTATTTATTTATTTTTTTTAGAGACAGTCTTGCCTTGTTGCTGAAGCTGGTTTTGAACTCCTGACCTCAAGTGATCTGCCTGCCTCAGCCTCCCAAAGTGTTGGGATGACAGGCATGAGCCACCACTCGGGCTATAAAACCAATTTTGAAAAGAGGTGTTGTGTGAACAACCAGCAGTTGAATTACCTGCCAAAGACAACCTTTTGCTTCTCTTTACCTAGGGGTGGCCCTGGGGTCCAATCTCAGCCAATGGAACGGAAGGTAAATATACAAGAGGAGGTGTGGCTAGCACGGCCCCTCCACCTCTACTCCGCTCCTGTCTCTGAGTGTGGCTGTGATGCCCGGATCAGCAGCAGCCTCCTTGCAACCTTGAGGCCACGTGGTGGTGAACAGAAAGGACCTCGGTTACTTGTGGTGTAACTTGAGGCTGCCGTCTTGTGAGTCAGGTGCCTCGTGTTTTATTTTTTACAAGAGTTGTGTTTCTTTCCAAAGATGATTTTGGATTAGAGAGAAAGAGAGAGAGAGAGAGACAGTAGCGTGTCTGGGTCAGATTTTTACAAAATATCACTACTTAAGATACCAACGTAGAAATGAGCCAGCGTCCAAGTCCTGTTCATATATTTTGGCCAACTTTCTTTTTTTCAGTTTTTGTTTGTGTGTTTGTTTTATTTTACTTTAAGTTCTGGGGTATGTGTGCAGAACGGGCAGGTTTGTTACATACGTATACACATGCCATGGTGGTTTTCTGCACCCATCAACCCATCATCTACATTAGGTATTTTTCCTAATGCTCTCCCTCCCCTATCCCCCCACCCCCTGACAGGCCCTGGTGTGTGATGTTCCCCTCCCTGTGTCCATGTGTTCTCATTGTTCGACTCCCACTTATGAGTGACAACATGCGGTGTTTGGTTTTCTGTTTCTGTGTTAGTTTGCTGAGAATGATGGTTTCCAGCTTCATCCATGTCCCTGCAAAGGACATGAACTCCTCCTTTTTGATGGCTGCATAGTATTCCATGGTGTCTCTGTGCCACGTTTTCTTTCTCCAGTCTATTATTGATGGGCATTTGGGTTGGTTCCAAATCTTTGCTGTTGTGAATAGTGCCGCAATAAACATACGTGTGCATGTGTCTTTATAGCAGGATGATTTATAATCCTTTGGGTATATACCCAGTGATGGGATGGCTGGGTCAAATGGTATTTCTGGTTCTAGATCCCTGAGGAATCGCCACACTGTCTTCCATAATGGTTGAACTAGTTTACAGTCCCACCAACAGTGTAAAAGTGTTCCTATTTCTCCACATCCTCTCCAGCACCTGTTGTTTCCTGACTTTTTAATGATCGCCCTTCTAACTGGTGTGAGGTGGTATCTCATTGTGGTTTTGATTTGCATTTCTCTGATGACCAGTGATGATGAGCTTTTTTTTCACATGTTTGTTTGGCCAACTTTTTGATATGTTTAGATATTAGGACCAAGATATCTTCTTCTTCTTATTATTATTTGAGATGGAGTCTCGCTCTGTTGCCCAGGCTGGAGTTTAATGGCACAATCTCAGCTCACTGCAACCTCCGCCTCCTGGGTTGAAGCAATTCTCCTGCCTCAGCCCACCGAGTAGCTGGGATTACAGGCATGCACCACCACACCCGGCTAATTTTGTATTTTTAGTAGAGATAGTGTTTTACCATGACCCTTTTCTTTCCATCAACAGCATTCTCCCTTCTCAAAGTGTATTCTTTTCTAATTCTATAATTAACGTATTTTATTTATGCAAAAAAAAGAATAAAAAGGAGACACTGGACATAATCAGACAGAATAACCTCAGCCTCCTCTTTCAAAGATAAACAGTGTCCCATGTATGTGCTTGCTCTTTTTTTTTTTTTTTTTTTTTTTTGAGATGGAATCTCGCTCTGTCGCCCAGGCTGGAGTGCAGTGGCGTGACAAGGCTCACTGCAAGCTCCACCTCCCGGGTTCACGCCTTTCTCCTGCCTCAGCCTCCCAAGTAGCTGGGACTACAGGCGCCCGCCACCACGCCCGGCTAATTTTTTTTGTATTTTTAGTAGAGACGGGGTTTCACCGTGTTAGCCAGTATAGTCTCCATCTCTTGACCTCGTGATCCGCCCGCCTCGGCCTCCCAAAGTGCTGGGATGACAGGCGTGAGCCACCGCGCCCGGCAAAGGGGTATAAATCTTTTTCAAGTCTAAATAATCCACTTGCCTGTCTCATAACCCAGGAACGTTTCCCCAAGGACCTGGGAGCCACCTCTTTTCAAATGAGATCATGAAGGAGGAAAACGCCCCTAGCTCCAGTGTCTGCGGACGAGAAGGGTCTAAGTTGTCACCTGACTCGAGATTGCAAAAGCCAGCTAAGGCAATGGGCTGTACACACTTACATCTAGCGAAGGGTGAGATTGCTTCGTGTCATTACAACCTCTTTAGTGAATTGCTTGTGATAGGCTTGGCATTCTGGTTTGATGCTGGTTCCACAATAAAATCATTTTCTTTTCTCTTTTACCTTCGTGGTGAGGTCCCCGGGGTTGGCAGATTTTGCTTTTAATGATATTTCTTCAACGCTGTCTCCACCAAGACCTTCAAATCCTTCCGGAGGCAGAGGGCCCTTGAGGATTCTCGGAGGCTTGAACGGAAATTCTCTACAAAGACCTTGCAAAGCCCTACCCAAGGCGGAGAAGATGAAATATCTGTTAATATGATTGTCATGACAATGTTTTCAGAGATTCCTTCCTTTTGGCAGGATATTTACAGTATCTCAGTGTTCAGATTCCAACGAACGCTGTTTCTATCTGTGTCTTAATAAGCCCAGTTGCGCAGAAGGACGTGGCACCCAGAGAGAGCTTGATAAACGTTGGGTTTTTTGACCGTCCTTGGCATTTGATCTTTGACAGGCAAGCGGGCGTGCAGGTAGGTGGTGTCCACGGGGCGGCCAGCTCAGCAGTGATGCTTGTCCCGTGCTCAGCTGTGGCCTGAATGTCTGTGTTACCCAAATTCCTGTGTTGAAATTGTCTCCCCATCCTTAGTTCAACCATTGTGGAAGACAGTGTGGTGATTCCTCAAGGATCTACAACCAGAAATATCATTTGACCCAGCAATTTCATTACTGGGTATATACCCAAAGGATTGTAAATCATTCTCCTATAAAGACACATGTGCACGTATGTTTTTGCGGCACTGTTCACAATAGCAAAGACTTGGAACCAATCCAAATGCGCATCAATGACAGACTGGATGAAGAAAATGTGGCACATACACACCATGGAATACTATGCAGCCATGAAAAAGGATGAGTTCATGTCCTTTGCAGGGACATGGATGAAGCTGGAAACCATCATTCTCAGCAAATTCACACAGGAACAGAAAACCAAACACCGCATGTTCTCACCCATAAGTGGGAGCTGAACAATGAGAACACATGGACACAGGAAGGGGAACATCACACACCAGGGCCTGTCAGGGGGTTGGGGGAAGGTGAGGGAGAGCATTAGGAGAAACACCTAATGTAGACGACGGGTTGATGGGTGCAGAAAACCACCATGGCACGTGTATACCTATGTAACCAACCTGCACGTTCTGCACATGTACCCCAGAACTTAAAGTATAATAAAAAAAAAAAAAAGGAAAGAAATCCTCTCTCCAAAGTTGATGATATTGGGAGGTGGGGTCTTTGGGAGGTGAGGAGGTCATAGGGTTGGAGGCTCATGGCTGGGATGACTGCCCTTATAAAAGGGTCGCCGGGGAGGCCCCTTCCACCACGTGAGGGCACAGAGAGAAGGCGCTGTCTATGAAGCAGGAGGCCTTTCCATACACACAGAACCCACCACACCTGGATCTTTGTCTTCCAGCCTCCAGAGCTCTGAGCGGTAAATGTCTGCGGTTTCTAAGTTAGCCCCTGTGTTCTGTTCTGGGATAGCCGCAGCCCCAGCCGGCTGGGGTAAGAGAGATAAGAGACCACCTGTGGCCCCTCTCCCTGCAACCCCTTTCCCTGTGGGAGCAGGAGCTCCTTCCCTCTCCCTGCAGCCCCTTTCCCTGTGGGAGCAGGAGCTCCTTCCCTCTCCCTGCATCCCCTTTCCCTGTGGGAGTGAGAGCTCCTTCCCTCTCCCTGCATCCCCTTTCCCTGTGGGAGTGAGAGCTCCTTCCCTCTCCCTGCATCCCCTTTCCCTGTGGGAGTGAGAGCTCCTTCCCTCTCCCTGCATCCCCTTTCCCTGTGGGAGCAGGAGCTCCTTCCCTCTCCCTGCATCCCCTTTCCCTGTGGGAGCAGGAGCTCCTTCCCTCTCCCTGCAGCCCCTTTCCCTGTGGGAGCAGGAGCTCCTTCCCTCTCCCTGCATCCCCTTTCCCTGTGGGAGCAGGAGCTCCTTCCCTCTCCCTGCAGCCCCTTTCCCTGTGGGAGTGAGAGCTCCTTCCCTCTCCCTGCAGCCCCTTTCCCTGTGGGAGTGAGAGCTCCTTCCCTCTCCCTGCATCCCCTTTCCCTGTGGGAGCAGGAGCTCCTTCCCTCTCCCTGCATCCCCTTTCCCTGTGGGAGCAGGAGCTCCTTCCCTCTCCCTGCAGCCCCTTTCCCTGTGGGAGCAGGAGCTCCTTCCCTCTCCCTGCATCCCCTTTCCCTGTGGGAGTGAGAGCTCCTTCCCTCTCCCTGCATCCCCTTTCCCTGTGGGAGTGAGAGCTCCTTCCCTCTCCCTGCATCCCCTTTCCCTGTGGGAGTGAGAGCTCCTTCCCTCTCCCTGCATCCCCTTTCCCTGTGGGAGCAGGAGCTCCTTCCCTCTCCCTGCATCCCCTTTCCCTGTGGGAGTGAGAGCTCCTTCCCTCTCCCTGCAGCCCCTTTCCCTGTGGGAGCAGGAGCTCCTTCCCTCTGCCTGCATCCCCTTTCCCTGTGGGAGTGAGAGCTCCTTCCCTCTCCCTGCAGCCCCTTTCCCTGTGGGAGTGAGAGCTCCTTCCCTCTCCCTGCATCCCCTTTCCCTGTGGGAGTGAGAGCTCCTTCCCTCTCCCTGCATCCCCTTTCCCTGTGGGAGCAGGAGCTCCTTCCCTCTCCCTGCATCCCCTTTCCCTGTGGGAGTGAGAGCTCCTTCCCTCTCCCTGCATCCCCTTTCCCTGTGGGAGTGAGAGCTCCTTCCCTCTCCCTGCATCCCCTTTCCCTGTGGGAGCAGGAGCTCCTTCCCTCTCCCTGCATCCCCTTTCCCTGTGGGAGTGAGAGCTCCTTCCCTCTCCCTGCATCCCCTTTCCCTGTGGGAGTGAGAGCTCCTTCCCTCTCCCTGCATCCCCTTTCCCTGTGGGAGTGAGAGCTCCTTCCCTCTCCCTGCATCCCCTTTCCCTGTGGGAGTGAGAGCTCCTTCCCTCTCCCTGCATCCCCTTTCCCTGTGGGAGCAGGAGCTCCTTCCCTCTCCCTGCATCCCCTTTCCCTGTGGGAGCAGGAGCTCCTTCCCTCTCCCTGCATCCCCTTTCCCTGTGGGAGTGAGAGCTCCTTCCCTCTCCCTGCAGCCCCTTTCCCTGTGGGAGCAGGAGCTCCTTCCCTCTCCCTGCATCCCCTTTCCCTGTGGGAGCAGGAGCTCCTTCCCTCTCCCTGCATCCCCTTTCCCTGTGGGAGCAGGAGCTCCTTCCCTCTCCCTGCATCCCCTTTCCCTGTGGGAGTGAGAGCTCCTTCCCTCTCCCTGCATCCCCTTTCCCTGTGGGAGTGAGAGCTCCTTCCCTCTCCCTGCAGCCCCTTTCCCTGTGGGAGCAGGAGCTCCTTCCCTCTCCCTGCATCCCCTTTCCCTGTGGGAGCAGGAGCTCCTTCCCTCTCCCTGCAGCCCCTTTCCCTGTGGGAGTGAGAGCTCCTTCCCTCTCCCTGCATCCCCTTTCCCTGTGGGAGTGAGAGCTCCTTCCCTCTCCCTGCATCCCCTTTCCCTGTGGGAGTGAGAGCTCCTTCCCTCTCCCTGCAGCCCCTTTCCCTGTGGGAGTGAGAGCTCCTTCCCTCTCCCTGCATCCCCTTTCCCTGTGGGAGCAGGAGCTCCTTCCCTCTCCCTGCATCCCCTTTCCCTGTGGGAGTGAGAGCTCCTTCCCTCTCCCTGCATCCCCTTTCCCTGTGGGAGTGAGAGCTCCTTCCCTCTCCCTGCATCCCCTTTCCCTGTGGGAGTGAGAGCTCCTTCCCTCTCCCTGCATCCCCTTTCCCTGTGGGAGTGAGAGCTCCTTCCCTCTCCCTGCATCCCCTTTCCCTGTGGGAGCAGGAGCTCCTTCCCTCTCCCTGCATCCCCTTTCCCTGTGGGAGTGAGAGCTCCTTCCCTCTCCCTGCATCCCCTTTCCCTGTGGGAGTGAGAGCTCCTTCCCTCTCCCTGCATCCCCTTTCCCTGTGGGAGTGAGAGCTCCTTCCCTCTCCCTGCAGCCCCTTTCCCTGTGGGAGCAGGAGCTCCTTCCCTCTCCCTGCATCCCCTTTCCCTGTGGGAGTGAGAGCTCCTTCCCTCTCCCTGCATCCCCTTTCCCTGTGGGAGCAGGAGCTCCTTCCCTCTCCCTGAATCCCCTTTCCCTGTGGGAGTGAGAGCTCCTTCCCTCTCCCTGCATCCCCTTTCCCTGTGGGAGTGAGAGCTCCTTCCCTCTCCCTGCAGCCCCTTTCCCTGTGGGAGTGAGAGCTCCTTCCCTCTCCCTGCAGCCCCTTTCCCTGTGGGAGTGAGAGCTCCTTCCCTCTCCCTGCATCCCCTTTCCCTGTGGGAGTGAGAGCTCCTTCCCTCTCCCTGCATCCCCTTTCCCTGTGGGAGTGAGAGCTCCTTCCCTCTCCCTGCAGCCCCTTTCCCTGTGGGAGCAGGAGCTCCTTCCCTCTCCCTGCAGCCCCTTTCCCTGTGGGAGTGAGAGCTCCTTCCCTCTCCCTGCATCCCCTTTCCCTGTGGGAGTGAGAGCTCCTTCCCTCTCCCTGCAGCCCCTTTCCCTGTGGGAGTGAGAGCTCCTTCCCTCTCCCTGCATCCCCTTTCCCTGTGGGAGTGAGAGCTCCTTCCCTCTCCCTGCAGCCCCTTTCCCTGTGGGAGCAGGAGCTCCTTCCCTCTCCCTGCATCCCCTTTCCCTGTGGGAGTGAGAGCTCCTTCCCTCTCCCTGCATCCCCTTTCCCTGTGGGAGTGAGAGCTCCTTCCCTCTCCCTGCAGCCCCTTTCCCTGTGGGAGCAGGAGCTCCTTCCCTCTCCCTGCATCCCCTTTCCCTGTGGGAGTGAGAGCTCCTTCCCTCTCCCTGCAGCCCCTTTCCCTGTGGGAGTGAGAGCTCCTTCCCTCTCCCTGCATCCCCTTTCCCTGTGGGAGCAGGAGCTCCTTCCCTCTCCCTGCAGCCCCTTTCCCTGTGGGAGCAGGAGCTCCTTCCCTCTCCCTGCATCCCCTTTCCCTGTGGGAGTGAGAGCTCCTTCCCTCTCCCTGCATCCCCTTTCCCTGTGGGAGTGAGAGCTCCTTCCCTCTCCCTGCAGCCCCTTTCCCTGTGGGAGCAGGAGCTCCTTCCCTCTCCCTGCATCCCCTTTCCCTGTGGGAGTGAGAGCTCCTTCCCTCTCCCTGCATCCCCTTTCCCTGTGGGAGTGAGAGCTCCTTCCCTCTCCCTGCAGCCCCTTTCCCTGTGGGAGTGAGAGCTCCTTCCCTCTCCCTGCATCCCCTTTCCCTGTGGGAGTGAGAGCTCCTTCCCTCTCCCTGCAGCCCCTTTCCCTGTGGGAGCAGGAGCTCCTTCCCTCTCCCTGCATCCCCTTTCCCTGTGGGAGTGAGAGCTCCTTCCCTCTCCCTGCATCCCCTTTCCCTGTGGGAGTGAGAGCTCCTTCCCTCTCCCTGCAGCCCCTTTCCCTGTGGGAGCAGGAGCTCCTTCCCTCTCCCTGCATCCCCTTTCCCTGTGGGAGTGAGAGCTCCTTCCCTCTCCCTGCATCCCCTTTCCCTGTGGGAGTGAGAGCTCCTTCCCTCTCCCTGCAGCCCCTTTCCCTGTGGGAGTGAGAGCTCCTTCCCTCTCCCTGCATCCCCTTTCCCTGTGGGAGCAGGAGCTCCTTCCCTCTCCCTGCATCCCCTTTCCCTGTGGGAGCAGGAGCTCCTTCCTCCACTGAAGAGATGAAGGGTCTCCACTCTGGCTTTTAGCAGGGGCAGAGGTTGCAGGTTCTGTGGGGGCTGCAGACTGGACTGTGCCTCTCTCTCTCTCTTTTTCTCTTCTCTGCATTTTCCCTCGCTTCTCTCTCTTTCTTTCTCTTCTCTCTGTTTTTTTCCTCTTTTTTTCTCTCCCCGTCTCTCCTCTTCCTCTCTCTCTCTCTCTCACGTCTCCGTGTTTCTCCCCCTCTTTCTCTCTGTCTCTCTTCTGTCTGTTTCATTCCTTTTTTCTCTCTGTGCCTGTCTCTCTCCTCTTCCTCTCCCTGTCTCTCTCCCCCTCTCTGTCTGTGTTTCTGCCCCTCTCTTTCTCTCTTCTCTCTGTTTTTTTCCTCTTTTTCTCTCCCCTTCTCTCTTCTCTTCCTCTCCGTCTGCCTCTGTCCCTCCCCTCTCTTTCTTCCTCTCCCTCTCTCTTCTCTCTCTCTCCCCTCTCCTCTTTCCTTTCTCTGTTTCATTCCTCTCTTTTCTCTCTCTTCTCTCCCTCTCCCTTCTCCCCCCTCCTCTCACTGCATCCCAATCCTTTCCTGGCCGTCCTCTCGCCCTCCTTCGCCTCCTCCTCTCCTGGAGGGTCCTACATTCTACTCCTGGCTCTTTCCTTCTCACTCTAGGTTCTCCCAGGGACTTCATCCACACCTATAATCTCATCCACCATCTCAATTCCTACGTCTGTGTTTTCACCCGGGAGCAGGGCTCAGCCAATCTTTTATTATTATCATTATTATTTTAAATAAAGGACTAGATGGTAAGAAAAAATACTGTGCATGTGGGTGCTGGATCTTTGCTGTCCTCATGGCCCCTGGTCCGTGAGGTTGCCCCTAAAACATATTTAAGAGAGTATCTCTGAAGTGTCTTCCTACCCTCATTAAATCTCTCATACACGGTCACCTCCCGGGATAAGACGCCTGTGAACCCCAAATATCTGAGACAGATCTCCAGCAAGTCAGGAAGTTTCTTCTGCCAAGGTTAAGAAGACAGCGTCCGTCACACCATCTTAGGAGGCTCTGACGACGTGTCCCAAGGTGGTCAGGGCACAGCTTGCTCTGTGTTGGTTTGGTTTGGAAAAGCAGGACAATATGAGGCGGGAAGAGGGTTTCCAGATCACAGGTAGGCAAGAGACAAACACTTGTGTTCTGTTGAGTTTCTTTCTTTTTGTTTTTTTTTTTTTTTTGAGATGAGTCTCACTCTGTCACCTGAAAATGAGAATTTTTATTTTTATTTTTATTTTTTTTTTGAGATGGAGTCTTGCTCTGTTGCCCAGGCTGGAGTGCAGTGGTGGGATCTCGGCTCACTGCAACCTCCACCTCCCGGGTTCAAGTGATTCTCCTGCCTCAGCCTCCTGAGTAGCTGGGATGACAGGCACCCGCCCCCACACCTGGCTATTCTTTGTATTTTTAGTAGAGATCGGGTTTCACCATCTTGGTCAGGCTGGTCTTGAACTCCTGACCTCATGATCCGCCCGCCTCGGCCTCCCAAAGTGCTGGGATGACAGGCGTGAGTCACTGCGCCCGTCTCGCTCTGTCACCCAGGCTGGAGTGCAGTGGTGGGATCTCGGCTCACTGCAACCTCCACCTCCCAGGTTCAAGTGATTCTCCTGCCTCAGCCTCCCGAGTAGCTGGGACTACAGGTGCCTGCCACCATGCCTGGCTAGTTTTTGTATTTTTAGTAGAGACGGGGTTTCACCATCTTCGTCAGGCTGGTCTTGAACTCCTGACCTCATGATCCGCCCACCTCAGCCTCCCAAAGTGCTGGGATGACAGGCGTGAGCCACCGCGCCCGGTCCTGTTGAGTTTCTAATTAGCCTTTCCAAAGGAGACCATGAGATATGCATTTATCTCAGTGAGTAGAGGGATGCTTTCAGCTCTTGAGTTCTGTCTTGTCCCTTGTCCACGAGGAATTTCTGTGGATAGATTGTGAGGGAAGACTGTGGCTCTTTTCTCCTGGTAGCTATCTTTTTTTTTTAGGAGTCAAATAGGAGACAGGGTTGTCTGAGACAGTTCCCAGCTTGAATTTTTCCCTTTAAGTCGTGTCCTGTATCAGCCAATGCTGGATTTCAGGTAGGCGGCTGGATTGAAAGATGGATAAATGAATAAGTGGGTGAGTGATTGACATCAGGGACCAGTTGGGGTGGGAGGTGAAGGGGCTTAACCCTCCATCCTCCACCTCAGCCTGTATAATATTATTTTATTCTTCTAAGGTAACATGAGTTTCTCTCTTTGGGGTTTATCTCTTTTAAAGTTTTGATGTATGTACGCTTTCTCCATCTTGCTGTCTTTGTTCACCTCTAACAATGTATTTTGTTCGATATAAGGTGCTTTGGTGTTTCGTTGTATTTTTTTAAGTTTGATTCTCCCTTTTCCATTTTTCTGTCTCCATGGCGGAGTCCCGGGACCTCCCCAGGGACGGGCGAGTCACAATATCTGTGGCCGACGGGCCCATCTGTCTTCCTCTCCTGCGTTTTTCAACGATGGTCCATTATGCAAACGATCCTGGCCAGAGACAAGGAATAATATCAGATAAGGGAGAATTACAATGCCATAAATAGAAGAAGGCTTTTTTTTTTTTTTTGGAATATAAACTTGATCATTTTTTTTAAATTTTATTATTATTATATTTTAAGTTTTAGGGTACATGTGCACAACGTGCAGGTTTCTTACATATGTATACATGTGCCATGTGTTTTTTGTAACATGGTAATACTCTCTTAGAGAAAGGACCACACTCCCTTTATTCGTTTTTCCCTGGTATGTTATTAGTTTTTGTTTCTTTTTTTTTTTTTTAATTTTACTTTAAGTTCTGGGATACATATGCAGAACGTGCAGGTTTGTTACATAGGTATATACACGTGCCACGGTGGTTGGCTGCACCCATCCACCCGTCATCTACATTAGTAGCTGAGATTACAGGTGCCCGCCACCATGCCCGGCTAATTGTTGTATTTTCAGTGGAGACAGGGTTTCACTATGTTGGCCAGGCTGCTCTTGAACTCACGCCTGTTATCCCAGCACTTTGGGAGGCTGAGGCGGGTGGATCACGAGGTCAGGAGATCGAGACCATCCTGGCTCACACGGTGAAACCCCGTCTCTACTAAAAATACAAAAATTAGCCGGGCGTGGTGGTGGCGGGCGCCTGTAGTCCCAGGTATTCGGGAGGCTGAGGCAGGAGGATCACTTGAACCCGGGAGGCGGAGCTTGCGGTGAGCCGAGATCGTGCCACTGCACTCCAGCCTGGGTGACAGTGCGAGACTCTGTCTCAAAAAAAAAAAAAAAAAAAAAAAAGATTCTTATTTGCAGGTGACAGAGGGATTCAGAAGGGTCACCTGGCCACTTTTGAACAAGAATCCTGAGAAATCTACCCAGTCTGGATGGCCGGCAGCTCAGGAGGGTGAAACTCCAATGGTGTTGGAAAAGCTGAATAATTTTTTTTTTTTAGGCACAAAGACTGAACTATCTCATGCATTCTTGTAACACCTTGGAAGATGACTTTCCAGCCACGTTCTGTTATTAGAAAATAAATTAGAAAAATTCTTGGTGAGTGTTTCTATGTATTCCAGGCTACACCTCCCTACCCGCCCCCCCTTTTTTTTTTTAAAGCCAGCGTGACTCTGACCTTTGGTAACCTCACATTCTTTGCTCAAAAACATGTGATATGAACACAGATGGCTTTCATGCCAACCTAAGTGGTATCATATGCCTCCCTGAAGCCCCCGGCTCCGGCCAGCCAATTTGCACTTTTTTGCCGCTGAGGAATTGGTACGACGTGCAAACAATTCTGCCTTATCAAAAGCAGGACACCTTTTAAACTCTGTGCAAAGTCCTCAAATTGGCTTGATGAATAGCTTGGACACGCACCCACACACAGGATGTTTTGACTTGTGGGTTTAGCCTTGGGATCTGGAGGTTTTGATTTCACCTCAGCTGACATGAACCAGAGACGGTGGGCTGAGAAAGGAATCGCTCTTCTGAAAATGAGGCATTTCCAGAGCTCAAAGGGAAGGGAAAAGGAAGTCAGTGTCTTCCCTGGTTGACGAAGTATGGGAGGTTTCTTTTTCTTTAGGAGTACCTTTCCTCAGGCCTCCCCCGATATTATGGGACATTTGCGGACCTGGATTTTTCTGGACAGAATTTATCTCAGTGTGGCTGTGATTGACAATGAGAGTCTAAACACAAATAAGTAGAAATATCTTAAACTTAAAGAACTTAAACAAATTGACAAGAAAAAAAACAACCCATCAAAAAGTGGGCAAAGGATATGAACAGACACTTCTCAAAAGAAGACATTTATGCAGCCAACAAACCTATAAAAAAAATGCTCACCATCACTGGCCATCAGAGAAATGCAAATCAAAACCACGATGAGATACCATCTCACGCCAGTTAGAATACGATCAGTAAAAAGTGGGGAAACAACAGGTGCTGGAGAGGATGTGGAGAAATAGGAACGCTTTTACACCGTTGGTGGGACTGTAAACTAGTTCAACCATTGTGGAAGACAGTGTGGCGATTCCTCAGGGATCTAGAACCAGAAATACCATTTGACCCAGCCATCCCATTACTGGGTATATACCCAAAGGAGTATAAATCATGCTGCTATAAAGACACATGCACACGTATGTTTATTGCAGCACTATTCACAATAGCAAAGACTTGGAACCAACCCAAATGTCCATCAGCGATAGACTGGATGAAGAAAATGTGGCACATACACACCATGGAATACTATGCAGCCATCAAAAAGGATGAGTTCATGTCCTTTGCAGGGACATGGATGAAGCTGGAAACCACCATTGTCAGCAAACTGTCGCAAGGACAGAAAACCAAACACTGCATGTTCTCCTTCATAAGTGGGAGTTGAACAATGAGAACACATGGACACAGGGAGGGGAACATCACACACCAGGGCCTGTCGGGGGCTGGGGGAGCTAGGGGAGGGAGAGCATTAGGACAAATACCTAATGTAGATGACGGGTTGATGGGTGCAGCAAACCACCATGGCACGTGTACACCTACGTAACAAACCTGCCCGTTCTCCACATGTACCCAGAACGTAAAGTATAATTTAAAAAATAAATAAAAATAAATTTATCAACTGTCCTTTCTTCTCCAACTGGCAGAGCACCTTCCCTTTCTGTTGCATTTTTTTCCTCATCTTTCTGCAAGAATTCTCTCTTCCAGGAACAAGCCCTCTTTGGCAGTGGAGCTCTGGGGCCATTCTTATCCAGAACAGACATGCCTGGGCAACTAGACATAGAGAAATTATGAGTTTTTTATTTTATTTCATGGACTATTTATTTATTTTTTAGAGACAAAGTCTTGCTCTGTTTCTCAGGCTGGAGTGCAGTGGTACAATCAAAGCTCATGGCAGCCTCAACCCCCTGGGCTCAAGGGAATCCTCCTGCCTCAGCCTCCCAAGTAGCTGGGACCACAGGCACCCACCACCACGCCTGACTAATTTTTTGTATTTTTAGTAGAGACGGGGTTTCACTGTGTTAGCCAGGATGGTCTCGATCTCCTGACCTCATGATCCGCCTGCCTCGGCCTCCTAAAGTGCTGGGATGACAGGCATCAGCCATCACACCCAGCTCAATTTTTTATTTTGAATGAGAGAGCAAAGTAGGATTGTGAGTGAGGTTCTATTTTGCCATAAGAGGAAAAGAAAACATACCTCCAGGGATAATCACCCTCATTCCATAGGAGAAAGTCATTTTAGGTCGAGCTTGATGGCTCATGCCTGTCATCCCAGCACTTTGGGAGGCTGAGATGAGTGTTCAGGGGTTGTAGACCAGTCTGGGCAACATGGTGAAACCCCATCTCTACTAAAATACAAAACATCAGCCAGGTGTGGTGGTGCATGCCTGTAATCCCAGCTACTCAGGAGGCTGAGGCATGTGAATTGCTTGAGCCCAGGAGGTGGAGGTTGCAGTTAGCAGAGATCGCACCACTGCACAGCCTGCTTGGCTGTTTTATTCTCTGCAGCTCCTCTGGTCCTGGTGGGTTCATTTCTTTGCTCCCATCTCAGTGAGATCTGGGGAAGGAGCAGGTTGAACACCTGGATCCAAACAGCCAGGCTTAGCAAAAGTCTGTCTTTCTTTCTTTTCTTTTCCTTCTTTCCTTTCTTTCTTTCTTTCTTTCTTTCTTTCTTTCTTTCTTTCTTTCTTTCTTTCTTTCTCTTTCTTTCTTTTCTTTCTTTCTCTTTCTTTCTTTTCTTTCTTTCTCTTTCTTTCTTTCTTTCTTTCTTTCTTTCCTTTCTTTCTCTTTTTTCTTTCTTTCTTTCTTTCTTGCTTTCTCTTTCTTTCTTTTTCTTTCTTTTCTTTCTCTTTCTTTCTTTTCTTTCTTTCTCTTTCTTTCTTTTCTTTCTTTCTTTCTTTCTCTTTTTTCTTTCTTTCTTGCTTGCTTTCTCTTTCTTTCTCTTTCTTTCTTTCCTTTCTTTCTTTCTTTCTTTCTTTCCTTTCTTTCTCTTTTTTCTTTCTTTCTTTCTTGCTTGCTTTCTCTTTCTTTTCTTTCTTTCTCTTTCTTTCTTTTTCCTTTCTTCCTTCCTTTTTTCCTTCCTTCCTTTCTTCCCTTCTTTCTTTCTTTCTCTTTTTTCTTTCTTTCTTTCTTGCTTGCTTGCTTTCTCTTTCTTTCTTTCTTTTCTTTCTTTTTCCTTTCTTCCTTCCTTTCTTTTTTCCTTCCTTCCTTTCTTCCCTTCTTTCTTCCCTTCTTTCTTTCTTCTTTCTTTCTTTCTTTCTTTCTTTCAGAAAAACTTTCTTTCTTTCTTTCCTTCCTTCCTTCCTTTCTGTTTTCTTTCTCTTCTTTTTGGCACAAACACATTTATTTATTTACTTTTAATAATAAATAAACACATTTATTTATTATTTACTTATTTTTGTAAATAAGTAAATAATTATTTTTGAGATGAATCTCGCTCTGTCCCCAGGCTGGAGTGCAGTGGCACGATCTCAGCTCACTGCAACCTCTGTGTCCCGGGTTCAAGCGATTCTCCTGCCTCAGCCTCCCGAGTAGCTGGGATTACAGGTATGCACCACCACACCTGGCTAACTTTTGTATTTTTAGTAGAGACGGGGTCTCACCATCTTGGTCAGGCTGGTCTCGAACTCCTGATCTCGTGATTCTCCAGCCTTGGCCTCCCAAAGTGCTGGGATTACAGGCGTGAGCCACCGTGCCTGGCCACACATTTATTTATTAACCAAAGGGATGATCCTAATTAATCCAACACTTTGAAATAGCTGCATGGAAAATGGTTGTGATAAAGATAATTGAACACAGTAATGAAAAAAGAAGCACTATGCAGATTTGCTTCATTGGACTGAGCATGTTTATTCTCGTAGTTAATTCCTGTCCAAAGTAATGATGCGATTTTTATTTATTTTATTTTATTTTATTTATTTATTTTTTTGAGATGGAGTCTCACTCTGTTGCCCAGGCTGGAGTGCAATGGCAGGATCTCGGCTCACTGCAACCTCCACCTCTCCTGCCTCAGCCTCCCGAGTAGCTGGGACTACAGGCGCCCGCCACCACACCCGGCTCATTTTTGTATTCTTAGCAGAGACGGGGTTTCACCATGTTGGTCAGGCTGCTCTCAAACTCCTGATCTCATGATTTGCCCACCTCAGCCTCCCAAAGTGCTGGGATGACAGGCCTGAGCCACCGCACCTGACCATGATGCTGGGATTTTGATTCTACTTGTTCATAGATGTGAGTAGAGGTGACTTTGCTCATCACACAGTCCGACACTAATTTCCCATCTTTTGGTTTTCTTGTTAGTCTGAGTTTTTCTGTCCTCACTTGTGGTTTCTTCAAACTTCTCTCCCAGGGTACAGGAACACTGTCTTCTCAAAGTGCCCTCAGTTTTTCTGGTGAGACTTTTGCCATCACAAGTCACGATACAATCTGGTTCGGCCATTGAGTCCGTTTTTCCCAAAGCGATTCAGACTCCTAGTTCCTTCACGTATTCATCAAAGCGTTTGCTGTCCACCAGGTGCCATCTTCCTTCCGGCTGTTGGATGGGGGCCAATTCCTTAGAAGGGCGGGGGTCTCGGAGAGATGGATGAGGCTTCCTGGAGAAAGGTGGGTTGGCCCTGACCTGAAGGGAGGGTGCAGCCTGGGGCAGGGGAAGGGGTCCATGCTGGGTGCATCCATGCAGAGATAATATGGGGTGATCATGATTCTTTCCATGAGGGTCACAATGAAGATCATCTTTGTTTGTTTTTTTTTTCTTTTTTTTTCGAGACAGAGTTTCGCTCTTGTCACCCAGGCTGGAGTGCAATGGCACAATCTCGGCTCACTGCCACCTCCGCCTCTCGGGTTCAAGCGATTCTCCTGCTTCAGCCTCCCGAGTAGCTGGGATTGCAGGTGTGCACCACCACGCCCAGCTAATTTTGTATTTTTTTTTTTAGTAGAGACGAGGTTTCTCCATGTTGGCCAGGCTGGTCTCGAACTCCTGACCTCAGGTGATCCACCCGCCTCGGCCTCCCAAAGTGCTGGGATGACAGGTGTGAGCCACCGTGCCCGGCCGATCATCTTTGTTTTATGCATTTCTGCATTTTCCAGTTTGCGTCCATGATCGTACCTCCATTTAGAATTGGAACGTGTCTGTGGAAACCAATCCACAAACACAGACAAAAATGAGGAAGAACTTACGGGATTTGCTAAAGTTTTAACGTACGGGTGCCGTATCACCAGAATGCCACTCTTACATGTGTACCCAAAAGAATTTTTAAAAGGGACTCAAGGCCGGGCGCGGTGTTTCACGCCTGTGATCCCAGCACTTTGGGAGGCCGAGACGGGTGGATCACGAGGTCAGGAGATCGAGACCATCCTGGCTAACATGGAGAAACCCTGTCTCTACTAAAAATACAAAAAATTAGCCGGGCACGGTGGTGGGCGCCTGTAGTCCCAGCTACTCGGGAGGCTGAGGCAGGAGAATAGCATGAACCCGGGAGGCGGAGGTTGCAGTGAGCTGAGGGTGTGCCACTGCCCTCCAGCCTGGGCGACAGAGCGAGACTCCATCTCAAAAAAAAAAACCAAAGGAGAGTCAAACAAGGACTGTAGGACAGTGTTCACAGCAGCAAGTTTGACGGTAGCCAAAAGATGGAAAAAAACCAAGGGTCTGTTGATGGATAAACGCAATGTGGTCCATCCATGCAGTGGAATATTATACACCCACGAAAAGGAAAGAAGCTAGCTCTGACACAGGCTGCAGTGTGGATGGACCTGGAAGACATCACGCTCAGTGACAGAAGCCAGACACAAAAGGCCACGTTGTGTAGGATTCCGTTATATAAATGCAATGTGGTCCATCCATGCAGTGGAATATTATACACCCATGAAAAGGAAGGAAGCTAACTCTGAGACAGGCTGCAGTGTGGGTGGACCTCAAGGACATCACGCTCAGTGAGAGAAGCCAGACACAAAAGGCCATATCACGCAGGATTCCATTTATATAAAATGCCCAGAACAGGCAAACCCACAGAGACAGAAAGTGGATTTGTGGTTACCAGGGGCCGGGGAGGGGCTGGGGACTCACTGCTGCCTGCATACAGGGTCTCTTTTTGGAGTGATAAAAATGTTCTGGAACTAAATAGAGGCGGTGATTGCAGAGCATTAAAAATCATTCAAATGGGGTTATTATTTTTTTTTTTTTTTGAGACGGAGTTTCACTCTTGTTGCCCAGGCTGGAGTGCAGGGGAGCGATCTGAGCTCACTGCAACCTCCACCTCCCGAGTTGAAGTGATTTTCCTGCCTCAGCCTCCCTAGTAGCTGGGATTAGAGGCGCCCACCACCACACCCAGCTAATTTTTGTGTTTTTAGTAGAGACGGGGTTTCACCATGTTGGCCGGGCTGGTCTCGAACTCCTGACCTCAGATGATCCACCCGCCTCGGCCTCCCAAAGTGCTGGGATTACAGGCGTGAGCCACCACTCCTGGCCTCAGATGGGGAATTTTATGCTATGTCAATTATATCTAAATAAAAAACTTAAAGAAAGAAAAGGAACGAAGGAAGGAAGGAAAGAAGGAAGGAAGGAAAGAGGAAGGAAGGAAGGAAGAGACAAAAATAAACCAAAATAGGGAATGTCCACCTTGGAGGCTGATGTTCACGTCCACAGGTGCTGCCTCCCCAGACACTTACTCAACTCTGAAGCCTTCACCGGTAAGACAGCAGGGGTGGGGGGACGGCGGAGTCTTTGATCAGAAGAGGGCTCAACAGGCAAGGGGACCTGGTCCTTGCAAAAAACTCGGACTGCAGTACGGGCCGTGGGATCGGCCTCGTGTGTGGCCTGCACCCTTTTCCCCGTCAGGGAAGGACTGTTTGTTTGTTTTCTGCATCATCATCCATCACGCGGCATTGTCAGCCCTGACAGCTCAGGAGGGCCTTTTTCAACATCTCTTTATCTGACAGCGTTCATGCATCATAAGACAGCAAACAGAATTAGATCAAAGTCTACGAGGCCGTGTCGGCTCGGTGAGGAAGGCGAGCCAGCTTGTATCTTCATAAGAGAGGTGACAGTTGGTTTGAACTGGCGTTGGGCCGCAGAGGGCTGGGGAGTGCAGAGAGGACTGGGGACGAGGGCTGGGATTCTTGGCTTTCCAGGAGGAACAGCCCTGCTCCCTTCTGTCCACTTGCCACCTTCCTGGGTCTCTTTCCCCAGTAGGTGTGGTTCCTTCTGTCCTGCAGGCCACAGTGCAACCCAGGGCTTCGGAGCACGCGTTGATAGTCCTGATTTTTGTCTGACATCTTTGCAGAAAACGGAGAGCATCCCCTCAGGCAATGGGATACTGTCCCTCTGGCGCCGACCACACTCTGCGACTTGTCATGATGGGTAACAGGTGTGTCTGCAGCTTGACCTTGCAGCTGGGGCAGCCGCAGAGAGGTGCAGGAAGGAGAGCGATGGGAGAGAAAACGAAGGTGTGCTCAGTGGCGGAGAGAAATTCCAAAATTTCACTGGAGCAAGTTTAGCCCAGCTGGCTGCTGGAGAAACGCTTCTCCTGGATACTGTGGAGACTATATGGAGAATGAATTCCTTCCTTCCTCCCTCCCTCTTTCTTTCTTTCTTTCCTTCTTTCTTCCTTTCTTTCTTTCCTTCTTCTTTTTCTTTCTTCTTTCTTTCTTTCTTATCTCTCTCCTTCCTTATTCCTTTTCTTCCTTCCCTTCCCTCCCTTCCCTTTCCTTCTTTCCTTCCTTCCCTTCCTTCCTTCCTCTTTCCTTCCTTTCTCTTTTTCTTTCTTCTCTCTCTCTTTCCTTCCTTATTCCTCATCTTCCTTCCTCTTTCCTTTCTTTCTCTTTTTCTTTCTTCTCTCTCTTTCCTTCCTTATTCCTCATCTTCCTTCCTCTTTCCTTTCTTTCTCTTTTTCTTTCTTCTCTCTCTTTCCTTCCTTATTCCTCATCTTCCTTTCTCTTTCCTTTCTTTCTCTTTTTCTTTCTTCTCTCTCTTTCCTTCCTTATTCCTCATCTTCCTTCCTCTTTCCTTTCTTTCTCTTTTTCTTTCTTCTCTCTCTTTCCTTCCTTATTCCTCATCTTCCTTCCTCTTTCCTTCCTTTCTCTTTTTCTTTCTTCTCTCTCTCTTTCCTTCCTTATTCCTCATCTTCCTTCCTCTTTCCTTCCTTTCTCTTTTTCTTTCTTCTCTCTCTCTTTCCTTCCTTATTCCTCATCTTCCTTCCTCTTTCCTTCCTTTCTCTTTTTCTTTCTTCTCTCTCTCTTTCCTTCCTTATTCCTCATCTTCCTTCCTCTTTCCTTCCTTTCTCTTTTTCTTTCTTCTCTCTCTCTTTCCTTCCTTATTCCTCATCTTCCTTCCTCTTTCCTTCCTTTCTCTTTTTCTTTCTTCTCTCTCTCTTTCCTTCCTTATTCCTCATCTTCCTTCCTCTTTCCTTCCTTTCTCTTTTTCTTTCTTCTCTCTCTCTTTCCTTCCTTATTCCTCATCTTCCTTCCTCTTTCCTTCCTTTCTCTTTTTCTTTCTTCTCTCTCTCTTTCCTTCCTTATTCCTCATCTTCCTTCCTCTTTCCTTCCTTTCTCTTTTTCTTTCTTCTCTCTCTCTTTCCTTCCTTATTCCTCATCTTCCTTCCTCTTTCCTTCCTTTCTCTTTTTCTTTCCTTCCTCTTTCCTTCCTTTCTCTTTTTCTTTCTTCTCTCTCTCTTTCCTTCCTTATTCCTCATCTTCCTTCCTCTTTCCTTTCTTTCTCTTTTTCTTTCTTCTCTCTCTCTTTCCTTCCTTATTCCTCATCTTCCTTCCTCTTTCCTTCCTTTCTCTTTTTCTTTCTTCTCTCTCTCTTTCCTTCCTTATTCCTCATCTTCCTTCCTCTTTCCTTTCTTTCTCTTTTTCTTTCTTCTCTCTCTCTTTCCTTCCTTATTCCTCATCTTCCTTCCTCTTTCCTTCCTTTCTCTTTTTCTTTCTTCTCTCTCTTTCCTTCCTTATTCCTTTTCTTCCTTCCCTCCCTCCCTCCATCCTTCCTTCCTTTTTCTCTTCTTTCCTTCTCTTCTTTCTTCTTTCTTTCTTTCTTTCTTTCTTTCTTTCTTTCTTTCTTTCCTTTCTCTCTTCCTCCCTCCCTCCCTCCCTTCCTTCCCTTCCTTCCTTCCCTCTTCCTTCCCTTCCCTCCCTTCCCTTTCCTTCTTTCCTTCTTTCTCTTCCTTCCCTTCCCTTTCCTTCCCCTTCCTTCCTTCTTTCGTTCCTTCATTTCTTCCTTCCTTCTTTCCCTCCCTCCCTTCCTTCCTTCTTTCCTTCCTTCCCTCTGTCTCTGTCCTTTCTTCTCTCTCTTTCTCTGTTTTTTTTTTTTTTTTTTTTGGAGACAGGGTCTCACTCTGTCACCCAGACTGGAGTGCAGTGGTGCAATCACAGCTCACTGCAGCCTCAACCTCCTGGGCTCTAGCAATCCTCCCACCTCAGCCTCCTGAGTAGCTGGGACTACAGGAGTGCACCACCATGCCCGGCTAATTTTTTTTTTTCTTTGTTTTTGTAGAGACAAGCTTTCACCGTGTGACCCACTCTGGTCTCAAAGTCCTGGGCTCAAGCGATTCTCCTGCCTTGGCCTCCTGAAGTGCTGGGATTTCAGGTGTGAGTCACTGCACCCAACCTGGATGGAGATGTTTTTGTTTGCGCCTGGACGTGTCTTGCAAACTTGCCAAGGCTTCTGTCTTCATCGAGCTGAACCAGGGTTCTCAGCAGCTCACAATGATTATTCTTAATTTTTTTTTTTTTTTTTTGAGACGGAGTCTCGCTCTGTTGCCCAGGCTGGAGTGCAGTTGGTGCCATCTCGGCTCACTGCAAGCTCTGTCTCCCGGGTTCACGCCATTCTCCTGCCTCAGCCTCCCGAGTAGCTGGGACTACAGGCGCCCGCCACCACGCCCGGCTAATTTTTTGGTATTTTTAGTAGAGACGGGGTTTCACCGTGTTAGCCAGGCTGGTCTCGATCTCCTGACCTCGTGATCCACCCACCTCGCCCTCCCAAGGTGCTGAGATTACAGGTGTTCCTAAATATTTGTAAGTGCCAGGTGTTTAATGAAAGCGTAATGGGTAGAGAAGCCATCTCATGTGTATATTGTCACACGTGTCCGTGTGAAGAGACCACGAAACAGACTTCATGTGAGCAATAAAACTTTTTAATCACCTGGGTGCAGGCGGGCTGAGTCCGAAAAGAGAGTCACTGCAGGGAGATACGGGCGGGGCCGTTTTATAGGATTTGGGTACATAGTGGAAAATTACAATCAAAGGGGGTTGTTCTCTGGCTGGCAGGGGGCAGGTGACACAAGGTGCTCATTGAGCCAGGATGAGCCAGGAGAGGGAATTTCACAAGGTAAAGTCATCGCTTAAGGCAGGAACAAGCCATTTTCACTTCTTTCGTGATTTTTCGGTTACTTCAGGCCATCTGGATGTATATGTGCAGGTCACAGGGCATATGATGGCTTCGCTTGGGCTCAGAGGCCTGACATATATGTGTGTGAATGTACATGTATGTGTGCAGGCATGCGCCTATATGTGTCTGTAGGTGTACGTATGTATGTGTATATATGTGTGAATATGCATGTATGTGTATAGGCCTATGCGCGTATATATGTGTGCACATGTATGTATTTGTGTGTGCATGTGTATATGTCTGTATGTATGTGTATATGTGTGCATGTATGTGTATATGTGTGTATGTATGTGTATGCATTTATAACGTGTGTATGTATATGTGTTTCTGCATATATTTGTTATGCATGCATATCTGTGTATGTATATGTGTGCATGTGTGTATAATGTGTGTATATGTGTGTATGTGTGTATATATGTATGTATGTGTTATAACGTATGTATATGCATATGTTATGTGTGCATATCTGTGTGTATGTATATATGTGTGTGCATTGTGTAAATATGTGTGTGTGCATGTGTGTATAGTGTGTGTGTTTGCATGTATACCAAGATAACTTTCAGCAGTCCTTATGCATGTTATGTGTGCATATGTGTGTATGTGTATGTGTGTGCATATCTGTGTGTATGTATATGTGTATGCATGTGTGTATGTGTGTGCATGTGTGTATAGTGTGTGTGCACGTATGTGTATGTGTGTGTGTGCATGTGTGTATAGTGTGTGTGTATACCGAGATAGCTTTCAGCAGTCCTTATGCATATGTCATGTGTGCATATCCGTGTGTATGTATGTGTGTGCACGTATGTGTATATGTGTGTGTGTGCATGTGTGTATAGTGTGTGTGTATACCGAGATAACTTTCAGCAGTCCTTATGCATGTTATGTGTGCATATCTGTGTGTATGTATGTGTGTGTGCATGTGTGTATATATGTGTGTGTACGTGTGTATATGTGTGTGTGCATGTGTGTATGTGTATGTGTGTGCACGTGTGTATATGTGTGTGCATGTGTGTATGTGTATGTGTGTGCACGTGTGTATATGTGTGTGCATGTGTGTATATATGTGTGTGTGTGCGTGTATACTGAGATAACTTTCAGCAGTCCTTATGCATATGTCATGTGTGCATATGTATGTATATGTGTGTGCATATTTGTGTGTATGTATATAAGTGTGTGCATTGTGTGCAATGTGTGTGTGCACGTGTGTATATGTGTGTGTGCATGTGTGTATATATATGTGTGTGTGTTTGCATGTATACCGAGATAATTTTCAGCAGTCCTTATGCATATGTTATGTGTGCATATCTGTGGGTATGTATATGTGTGTGCACGTGTGTGCAATGTGTGTGTGCATGTGTGTTAGTGGGTGTGTGTGCGCATGTATACGGAGATAACTTTCAGCAGTCCTTTGCCTTCTAGTGGCATTCTCACGTTTAATTTTATTCCCTCCTTTTTTAAGCTGTCTGACTCCTCTTACTTTTGCCCGCGCCTTCGGTTTTGCTGGCGTGAGCCTCCCCCGGGTGTGAGTATTGCCTCTCCGTCAGGACCTGGCTGAGGCTCTCCCATGGATCTTGTAGCAGCAAAGTGTCGTCACTGTGAGAGGCAGGACTTTTAAAAGCCCTCCAAGATGACCATCCTCCAGTGGCCACTTTTTGATTTCTTTAAGAGGCATTTTGATTCCACAGTCTCTCGTGATGCTGCATTCCTTTTCCACTGGCATTTACAGCTGGAATCACGGGCAGTTTCCCTCCCGGGGTGAAAAGGCGGCCGTGAGTGTGGCTCTGCAGGGAGCCCTGGAGACTGGGTTTCTGCCCCCAGGCCTCTGCCCAGGTGTGTAACACAGCGAGGGGCACCCAGGCTGTTTGCATAGCAATTGGGGTGTGATTTGCAATTTAATAACAGTCCTGAGGGCTTCAGGACCAACAGCTCAATGGGACCAGCTGCTCTCAGCTCCTCTGAGGGCAAGAAATGAAAATTAAATTAAATTTAGAACAGAGTCATGACATAAATGACAGTGGGGAAGATGGGGGTTGTGTACCAGGCAAGCGTTCTTGGACGAGACACCGGGGTAGGGCTGACGCAGGTGAGACCCCCTCTGGCCCCCCACCCCACTGTCCCCCACTTGTACAAGTGCCTGGTGGACCTGGGACTAGCAGGAATGTGTCCCCAGCATGCTTTTGCTGTCAGTGTTTGCCCTTAACTTGTCTGAGTATCAGAATTAGCTCTGATTCTTTTAACTTTAAATTGGTATTCTTATTATTTGAGACGGAGTTTCCCTCTTGTCACCCAGGCTGGAGTGCAATGGCACAATGTTGGCTCGCTGCAACCTCTGCCTCCCTCATTCAAGCGATTCTCCTGCCTCAGCCTCCAGAAACTTTTAACTTTCAATTGATATTATTATTATTATTATTATTATTATTATTATTTGAGACAGAGTTTCACTCTTGTCACCCAGGCTGGTTGCAATGGCACAATTTTGACTCATTGCAATGGCGTGATCTCGGCTCACTGCAACCTCCACCTCCCAGGTTCAAGAGATTCTCCTGCCTCAGCCTCCAGAAACTTTTAACTTTCAATTGATATTATTATTATTATTATTATTTGAGATGGAGTTTCAATCTTGTTGCCCAGGCTGGAGTGCAATGGCACAATGTTGGCTCGCTGCAACCTCTGCCTCCCGGGATCAAGAGATTCTCCTGCCTCAGCCTCCAGAGCCTTTTAACTTTCAATTGGTATTATTATTATTATTATTATTATTATTATTGTTATTTGAGACGGAGTTTCACTCTTGTCACTCAGGCTGGAGTGCAATGGCACAATGTTAGCTCGCTGCAACCTCTGCCTCCCTCATTCAAGCGATTCTCCTGCCTCAGCCTCCAGAAACTTTTAACTTTCAATTGGTATTATTATTATTATTATTATTATTATTATTATTATTATTATTTGAGATGGAGTTTCACTCTTGTCACCCAGGCTGGAGTGCAATGGCACAATGTTGGCTCACTGCAACCTCTGCCTCCCAGGATCAAGAGATTCTCCTGCCTCAGCCTCCAGAGCCTTTTAACTTTCAATTGGCATTATTATTATTATTATTATTTGAGATGGAGTTTCACTCTTGTCACCCAGGCTGGAGTGCAACGGTGCGATCTCGGCTCACTGCAACCTCCACCTCCCAGGTTCAAGCGATTCTCCTGCCTCAGCTTCCCGAGTAGCTGAGACTACAGACGCCCGCCACCATGCCCGGCTAATTTTTATTATTTAGTATTTTTATTTTTTAGTATTCTTAGTATTTTTATTATTCAGTATTTTTAGTAGAGCCGGGGTTTCACCACATTGGCAAGGCTGGTCTCGAACTCCTGACCTCCGGTGATCCACCCACCTCGGCCTCCCAAAATGCTGGGATTACAGGCGTGAGCCGCCATGCCCGGCCGAAATTGGTATTATTTTTAAAAACCACCCGGCCATATATAAAAGCCAAAAGAATGCTAACAAGAACTCCCATAAACCCACCACTTGGCATCAATAATCAGCATTTTGCCAGTTTATTCTGTTTTTTTATTGTCATTTTAAGACAGGTTTCCACCATGTTGCCCAGGCTGGTCTCGAACCCCTGGGCTCAAGGGATCCTCCTGCCTCAGCCTCCCAACATGCTGGGATTACAGACATGAGCCACTGTGCCTGGCTAGCATTGTGCCTTTTTTTTTTTTTGAGGTGGAGTCTTGCTTTGTTGCCCAGACTGGAGTTCAGTGGCACGATCCCGGCTCACTGCAACCTCCACCTCCAGGGTTCAACTGATTCTCCTGCCTCCACCTCCCAGGTTCAAGTGATTCTCCTGCCTCAGCCTCCCTACTAGCTGGGATTACAGGCACCTGGCACCGTGCCTGGCTAATTTTTGTATTTTTAGTAGAGACGGGGTTTCTCCATGTTGGCCAGGCTGGTCTCGAACTCCTGACCTCAGTTGATCCTACCGCCTCGGCCTCCCAATGTGCTGGGATTACAGATGTGAGCCACTGTCCCTGGCCAGCATTGTGCCATTTATATATATATATATGTTGTGTGTGTATCCACCTATATGCCCATATAAATAAATGAGCTAAATATATAAACAACTAATTTATTTACCCATTGAAATGATATTAAATATACCTATCTATATACATGAATAAGAGACATATATTAAACAAATATTTTTTAAAAAAACATATTTCTTTTCTTTCTCTTTCTTTCTTTTTTCTCTTTCTCTCCTTCTCTCTCTTTCCTTTCTTTCTCTTTCTTTCTTTCTTTCTTTCTTTCTTTCTTTCTTTCTTTCTTTCTTTCTTTCTTTCTTTCTTTCTTTTATGGAGTCTCACTCTGTCACCCAGGCTGGAGTGCAGTGGCGTGATCTCAGCTCACTGCAACCTCCACCTCCCGGGTTCAAGCGATTCTCCTGCCTCAGCCTCCTGAGTAGCTGGGATTACAGGTGCACGCGACCAAGCCCAGCCAATTTTTGTATTTTTAGTAGAGACTGGGTTTCACCGTGTTGGCCAGGCTGGTCTCGAACTCCTGACCTCAGGTGATCCACCCACCTCGGCCTCCCAAAGTGCTGGGATTACAGGCATGAGCCACCGTGCCCGGCCAAAAACAGGTTTTCTAAGTAAGTTGTATATACAACATTTTACCCACCCTACAGTAGCACTCATATTCTGAAAATAAGTCTTCTTTCATAATACAGTATTATTTTCACACATCAGAAGATTTTTTTTCCTCTAAGAGACAGAGTCTTGCTCTGCAGCCTCAACTTCCCGGGTTCAAGCGATCCACCTCAACCTCCCGAGTAGCTGGGACTACACGCATGCACCAGCATGCCCAGGTAATTTTTAAACTTTTTGTAGAGATAGGGTCTTGCTATGCTGTCCAGGTTGGTCTTGAAGAAAGAAAGAAGGAAGGAAAGAAAGAAAGAGAGAGAAAGGAAAGAAAGAGAAAGAGAGAGAGGAAAGAGAAAGAAAGAAAGAAAGAAAAGAGAGAGAGGAAAGAAAGAAACAGAAAGGGGAAAGAGAAAGAAAGAAGAAAGAAAGAAAGGAAGGAAGAAGAAAAAAGAAAGAAAAGAGAGAGGAAAGAAAGAAACAAAAAGAGAGAGGAAAGAGAAAGAAAGAAAGAAAGAGAAAGAAAGAAACAAAAAGAAAGAAAGAAAAGAAAGAAAGAAAGAAAAGAAAGAAAGAAAGAGAAAGGAAGGAAGAAGAAAAAAGAAAGAAAAGAGAGAGAGGAAAGAAAGAAACAAAAAGAGAGAGGAAAGAGAAAGAAAGAAAGAAAGAAAGAGAAAGAAAGAAAGAAAGAAAGAAAGAAAGAAAGAAAGAAAGAAAGAAAGAAAGAAAGAAAGGAAGAAAGAAAGAAAGATCCCAAGCTGGCAAGCGGCAAGACACTCCCAGACTGTGCCAGGATAAGAGAGAAAGAGTCTTTGTGTTTTATTTTTGGAGACAAAGTGGAGTGCAGTGGTGCGATCTCAGCTCACCTCCGCCTCCCGGGTTCACGTCATTCTCCTGCCTCGGCCTCCCGAGTAGCTGGGATAACAGGTGCCCACCACCACGCCTGGCTCTTTTTGTATTTTTAGTAGACAAGGGGTTTCACCATGTTGGCCAGGCTGGTCTCGAACTCCTGACCTGAAGAGATCTGCTTGCTTTGGCCTCCCGAAGTGTTGGGATTACAAGTGTGAGCCACGGCACCTGGCTTTTTTTTTTTTTTTTTTTTTTTCAATAGATACAGGGTCTTGCTCTGTTGCCCAGGCTGGAGTGCCGTAGTCCAGTCATAGGTCACTGCAGCCTCAAACTCTTGGGCTTAAGCTATCCTTTCAGCTCAGCCTCCTGAGTAGCTGGAAATACAGGTGCGTGTGCCACCACGCTTGAATAATTTTCATTTTAATTTTTGTAGACACAGGGTCATGGTATGTTGCCCAGGCTGGTCTTGAACTCCTAGCCTCAAGCAATCCTCCCACGGCGGCCTCCCAGAGTGATGGGATTACAGGTGTGAGCCAACGTGCCTGGTCTTGTCCTAGAATTCGGAGGCATCCTGCAGCCCGTAGCAAGTCTAAATGACTTTTACCATGTTCTCCCTCTTCCCGGCTCCCCTCATCCCAGGTTACAGGCTTATATCAAAGCGTCCAACTGTTGGCAAAACATCAATTTGCATTTTTCAGACATCCAGGGCCAACGTGCTGCACCTGCCTTCTATTCCCAGACAGGAACTCGGAACGTAGGTGGCTGTTTACATATTTGACCGTGCGAGAGGCAGGTACCTGGAAACGTCCGTAGGTGGAGGATAAGGGGAGACATTCTGCTTCCTGAATGTCATGGATGGGAAGACACACATCCCAGCCCCTGTGGGGGAGGCTCAGAGTGTCCCTCAACAAACAGGGTCAATTTGTGAGGAAAGAGGGCCGTTGAAAGCTCTGTGATTGGCCGGGCACGGTGGCTCAGGCCCGTCATCACAGCACTTTGGGAGGCCGAGACGGGTGGATTGCCTGAGGTCAGGAGTTCGAGACCAGCCTGGCCAGCATAGTGAAACCCCGTCTCTACTAAAAATGCAAAAAAAATTAGCTGGGCTTGGTGGCTGGTGCCAGCTACTCAGGAGGCTGAGGCAGGAGAATCGCTTGAACCCGGGAGGCGGAGGTTGCAGTGAGCCGAGATCCATCCATTGCACTCCAGCCTGGGTGACAGGGACGACATTCCAGAAAAAAAAAAAAAAAAAAAAAAAAAAAAAAAAGCTCTGCGATTTTTGCAAAACCGGGAAGGCGGGGAACCCAGGCCTGTTTTAAAATAGTCCACCTAAATTATAAGTATGGCTCGTGGTGTGTTTTCCAAAGAAGAACCCTCCTTTAACGAGACCCCGCCTAGGCCGGCCGCTGTTGTAAATCTCCTGGTGGTGTGGACATAGCCAGGGGCTGGAGGTGGACCCCTCTGGATTTGTAGGTAGGAAGCAAAGAAGGGGCAGGTCCACTGCTCACCGCAGTTCCATATTTATGACGCGAGGACGCTGGGGAAAGCAACGAGTGTGTCACAAATGCGGTGAGGCCACCGTTCACCGTATTTTACGCTCACGACTTGTTTTCTTTTCATTTATGTCCCGGTCGATGAAAACGAAACGTATTCCTTAAAAAGAACACGCCTGATGCCAAAGAAAGGCACACGAGTGTGGGCGTCCCAGGGTGCAGAGGGCTGGCACTAGTTACCCTGGTGACTTTGCCGTGTCCCCTCTCATCCCCAGGATTGGACGTGCAAAGCGTCAGTAGTTAAAAAACACGACCAGACCGAAGAGAAATGGGAACCACCCACCATTCTGGTGGGGCAGGGCCTGCAGAAAATAAAGGAGATGTTCCACCCCGTGAGTCAACGTGGCAGGGTCCACGTTCCCAGGCAGGGTGGTGTCCAGCCTCAGGGCCCAAGCCAGCGGAAGCGCTGCGCTCACTAAAGACGCTCCGTTATGTCCTGTGGGTTTTGCAGCCAGCTTTATGGAGGGCGGTTCTCCTCCTGAACATCCGTGATGCTTTTTTTCGGGAAACCGCGGGGAACATTCCTCAGCAAAATTTGTGGCGTTGCAAACTTTCCAGCCAAAGCCATCAGTGGTTTTCAGCCCCATGCACTGTCCTCCCAGAGACGGGTCTGAAACGCATCTTCTTTTTTGAGACGGAGTCTCGCTCTGTGGCCCAGGCTGCAATGCAGTGGCGTGATCTCGGCTCACTGCAACCTCCGCCTCCCGGGTTCAAGCGATTCTCCTGCCTCAGCCTCCTGAGTAGCTGGGATGACAGACGCCCGCCACCATGCCTGGGTAATTTTTGTATTTTTACTAGAGACCGAGTTTCACCATGTTGGCCAGGCTGGTCTCGAACTCCTGACCTCAGGCGATCCACCTGCCTCGGCCTCCCAAAGTGCTGGGATGACAGGCGTGAGCCACTGCGCCCAGTCAGAAGTGCACAACCTACTGCCCCGTGGGTCTAGGGAAATTGTGGAAGATTCCTCTGGGCCTGTGTCTGTTTGGAAGTGTCTGTAATTCGGGACAAAGCTGGCGGGATATTGGAGGGAAAAATGGAGCCAGGAATGGGCTCAGAAAAATGGAGGCAGCAACGCCTGTAACAGGTTATTTAAAGAATTTTTTAAAAATCCTTGGCTTGGATTAACAAGCAGAGGGTTTCCATTAGAACACAAATCAAGGTGTTAACACCTACAGATGTAGCCTACTTTTGTTCTCATTTAAAACATTTTTTTTTTTGAGACAGGGTCTCACCCTGTCGCTCAGACTGGGGTGCAGTGGTGTGATCTCGGCTCACTACATCTTCCAGCTCCCAGGCTCAAGTGAGCCTCCTACCTCAGCCTCCTGAGTAGCTGGGATTACACAACACGCATGTGCCACCATGCCCAGCTAATTTTTATTTTTGTAAAGACAGGGTCTCACTATGTTGCCCAGGCCGGTCTCGAACTCTTGGCCCCAAGCGATCCTCCTGTCTTGGTCTCCCAAAGTGCTCGAATCACAGGTGTGAGCCACCAAGCCTGGCCTTCTAGATGCTGGATGCCAGGGCCATCGGAAACCGGAAATCTAGAACAAAAGTGCAGTCATGAGTCAAAGGGAAGCAAATGTGTCCGTGGAAAACTGCCCGGGCTGGTCTGGTCGGTGGAGGTTGTGACATCAGATCTTCCAACCTCTTCGTGGGAGAAATCAGTCCTATTGAAACTACAACCAGGCACTTAAACTGTTTGGAAAGACGAGCTGGTTTTATGAAAGACAATGGTCCTTTCTGTCCATAAGGATGAGATTATTGTGCATTTTTGCTTCTGGCTGAGATAAATGTAGCAAGACATATAGGAAAAAAACTGGTTACTGGGGGCCGAGCGTGGTGGCTCACCCCTGTAATTCCAGCACTTTGGGAGGCTGAGGTGGGAGGATCACTTGAGGTCGGCAGTTCGAGACCAGCCTGACCAACATGGAGAAACCCTGTCTTTACTAAAAATACAAAAATTAGCCGGACATGGTGGTGTACACTTGTAATCCCAGCTACTGGGGAGGCTGAGGCAACAGAATCCCTTGAACCCGGGAGGCAGAGGTTGTAGTGAGCTGAGATCACGCCACTGCACTCCAGCCTGGTCAACAAGAGCGAAATTCTGTCTCAAAAAAAGAAAAAAAAAAAATCACACCACAGACTGGGCGCAGTGGCTCACACCTGTAATCCCATCACTTTGGGAAGGCAAGGTGGGTGGATCACCTGAGGTCAGGAGTTCGAGACCAGCCTGGCCAACATGGTGAAACCCCGTCTCTACTAAAAATACAAAAATTACCTGGGTGTGATGGCGGGCGCCTGTAATCCCAGCTACTCGGGAGGCTGAGGCCGGAGAATCTCTTGAACCCGGGAGGCAGAGGTTGCCGTGAGCCGAGACCATGCCGTTGCACTCCAGCCTGGGCAACAGGAGTGTAACTCTGTCTCAAAAAAATAAATGAGTAAATAAATAAATAAGAAAATTCAAAAGAGAAAAGTTTTGGAAAACTGGTTACTGGGGGCGGACACCGAACGTTTTATTTATATTCGTCTGTGTTCTTTTCCTGGATAAAATATAAATTAAAACTAAAACCAAGTAACTGCGGAGAACATTGGCAAAGTTCTGTTATTACAGGAGGGGTATTTCTGAGCAAATAGGATCCCTCCGACCTCATTTTTTTCTGAGATACGACAGTAAGTGTTAAAAATGAGATGATTGCCAACCAAAAGATAATTCTTTTAAATAATTACCCTTCAAGGGAGAGCAAAAAATTAAAGGAGAACAGGAACTCAGGCTAAAGGAGCAATTTAGAATTTCTTTTCGATACTAGAATCATTGGATATCCACGGATTGTTAGTATTTTGAGATGGAGTCTTGCTCTGTTGCCCACGCTGGAGTGCAGTGGCGTGATCTCGGCTCACTACAACCTCTGCCTCCCAGGTTCAAGCGATTCTCTTGCCTCAGCCTCCCAAGTAGCTGGGACTACAGGCACCCGCCACCACGCCCAGCTAATTTTTGTATTTTTAGTAGAGACGGGGTTTCACCGTGTTGGTCAGGCTGGTCTTGAACTCCTGACATCAAGTAGTCCACCTGCCTGGGCCTCCCAAAGTGCTGGGATTACAGGCGTGCACCAGTGCATCTGGCTAATTTTTTTTTTTTTTGTATTTTTAGTAGAGACGGGGTTTCACCATGTTGGCCAGGCTGGTCTCGAACTCCTGACCTCCAGTGATCCGCCTGCCTCGGCCTCCCGAAGTGCTAACATTACAGGCATGAGCCACCACACCTGGCTGGACATCTTTCAAAGACAACATTCAGGTCTTTTAATACATGCAGGTCTTTTTTTTTTTTTTTTTTTTTTTTCTGAGACGGAATCTCACTCTGTCAGCAGGCTGGAGTGCAATGGCGCAATCTCGGCTCCCTGCAACCTCCGCCCCCTGGTTTCAAGCGATTCTCCTGCCTCAGCCTCCTGAGTAGGTGGGACTACAGGAGCATACCACCACGCCTGGCTAATTTTTGTATTTTTAAAATAGAGACAGGGTTTCACCACGTTGGCCAGGCTGGTCTTGATCTCTTGACCTCGTGATCCACCCACCTCAGCCTCCCAAAGTGCTGGGATTACAGGCATCAGCCACTGTGCCTGGCCCATGCAGGTCTTTTAATACGTGCTGAGAACCTGTTTTCTTGTCGTCTGGGGCCTCCTGCATTCGTTGACCTGTGACCATACATCCCATCACCTTCTATCTCCTCTACCTCTCTATGGAAACTCCCTCTGCCTCCCTGGCTCGTGGTCTCTTGTGTTTACCTTTAAGGCCCAGCCAGATAACCCAGCATAATCCCCCATTTCAAGACCCCTTATCTGAATGGGATCAGCAAAGTTCCTTTTGCCAGACAGCCTACTGCATCCACAAGTTCCCGAGATTTGGATGTGTATGTGTATCAGTTCGTACTCACACTGCTATAAAGATCCTACCTGGCCAGCTGCAGTGGCTCACACCTGTAATCCCAGCACTTTGGGAGGCTGAGGCAGGCAGATCACCTGAGGTCAGGAGTTCCAGACCAGCCTGGCAACAGGGTGAAACCCCATCTCTACTAAAAATACAAAATTAGCTGGGCGTGGTGGCACATACCTGTCATCCCAGCTACTTAGGAGGCTGAGGCAGGAGAATCACTTGAACCCGGGAGGCAGAGGTTGTGGTGAGCCGAGATTGCGCCATTGCACTCCAGCCTGGGAAACAAGAGTGAAATTCCGGCTCAAAAAAACAAATCAAAACAAAACAAATTCCTACCTAAGATTTGCAGCCGGGCGTGGTGGCTAATGCTTGCAATCCCAGCACTTTGGGAGGCTGAGGCAGGTGGATCACTTGAGGTCAGGAATTCGAGACCAGCCTGGACAACATGATGAGACCCCGTCTCCACTAAAAATACAAAATTTAGCCAGGTGTGGTGGCACATGCCTGTAATCCAAGCTACTCGGGAGGCTGAGGCAGGAGAATTGCTTGAACCCAGGAGGCAGAGGTTGCAGTGAGTCAAGAACACGCCACTGCACTCCAGCCTGGGCAACAGAGCGAGACTCCATCTAAAAAAAAATTTTTTTTCCAGAAAGCAACGATTTATGTGGTTTTTTAATTGTGTGCTATTCTGATGTGTCTCGCATGGGATATGACTCATCTTTCTGTCTGGTGCCCCCACCATGCTGTAGACACAATCCGTCCATTAGTCACTTAGCAACCGCTTCAGTGATCAGAGCGAGTGTTGTGGTATCTTAATGCTTGTGTTGAAGAACCTTTACTTGACTTAAAAAATGGCCCCGGCGTGCAAGAGGAGTGATGCTTGAGTATTTCTATAATGGTTCTATCTTACTATTAGTTATTGTTGTTTGTCTTTGGCTCTGCCTAACTTACAAACTAAACTTTAGAATAGGTATGTGCGTCTAGGAGGAAGCACAGCATATACAGGTCTTGCTGCTACTGGATGTTTCCGGCATCCCCGTGGGGTCTTGAAATGCATCCTTCATGGATAAAAGGAGACTTTTGTAGATGCTGCACTGGTGATTTTCATTTCTGTCAATGTTAGGGATTGAACATTGTTATATGGTGATTGCTTCGTCAACCTGATGTTTGGTTGTTCATGTTTGGAAACCCAGACTCCAAAAGGAGGGCAAACACCAGAGGGGATATTTGCTGGTTCTCAACCTGCCCTACGTGATTGCGTTTGTTTCAGAAGGGGCTGTAAGGAGCTCTTGCCTGCCCCATCTTTCTCTCCCCAACATGTCCACGCATTCCACACCCAATATGGTGTCCGTAGGACGTTGACATTTGCACACATTGCACACCCAATATGGTGGCCATAGAATGTTGACATTTCCTTGCATTCCACACCTAATATGGTGTCCATAGGATGTTGACATTTCCATGCATTACACACCCAATCGTTGACATTTCCATGCATTCCACACCCAATATGGTGTCCGTAGGATGTTGACATTTCCATGCATTCCACACCCAATATGGTGTCCGTGGGATGTTGACATTTCCATGCATTCCACACCCAATATGGTGGCCGTAGGATGTTGACATTTCCATGCATTACACACCCAATATGGTGGCCGTAGAATGTTGACCATCCCAAGACCATGTCGGCTTTGATATTGCCACGGTGTGAAGATTTCTGTTTTTGTTTTTTGTTTTTTTTTTTTTTGGAAACGGAATCTCTCTCTGTCACCCAGGCTGGAGTGCAGTGGCGCGATCTCGGCTCACTACAACCTCCGCCTCCCGGGTTCAAGTGATTCTCCTGCTTCAGCCTCCCGAGTAGCTGGGACTACAGGCACCTGCCACCATGCCCGGCTAATTTTTTGTATTTTTAGTAGAGACAGGGTTTCACCATGTTAGCCAGGATGGTCTCGATCTCCTGACCTCATGATCCTCCCGCCTCAGCCTCCCAAAGTGCTGGGATTACAGGCGTGAGCCACTGCACCTGGCCATAAGATTTCATTTTTTTTCTGTTGTTTTATTTTTTGAGATGGAGTCTCGCTCTGTCACCCAGGCTCTAGTGCAATGGCACAATCTCAGCTCACTGCAACCTCCACCTCCCGGGTTCAGGCGATTCTCCTGCCTCAGCCTCTCGAGTAGCTGGGATTACAGGTGCCCGCCACCACGCCCGGATAATTTTTTGTATTTTTAGTAGAGATGGGGTTTCACCATGTTAACCAGGCTGGTCTTCATCTCCTGACCTCGTGATCTGCCCGCCTCGGCCTCCGAAAGTGCTGGGATGACAGGCATGAGCCACCGCGCCCAGCCAGAAGATTTCATTTTTTCTTTTTATTTTTTTCTTTTTTGAGACAGAAGCTTGCTCTGTCTCCCAGGCTGGAGGGCAGTGGCGCAATCTCGGCTCACTGCAACCTCAACCTCCCGCGTTCAGGCGATTCTCCTGCCTCAGCCTCCCGAGTAGCTGTGATTACAGGCACCCGCCAACACGCCCGGCTAATTTTTTGTATTTTTAGTAGAGTCGGGGTTTCACCGTGTTAACCAGGCTGGTCTTGATCTCCTGACCTCGTGATCTGTCTGCCTCGGCCTAGGAAAGTGCTGGGATGACAGGCGTGAACCACTGCGCCCGGCCAGATTTTATTTTCTTCTGCAGAAAGTGGCTTTGCTGGTGGGGAGCCATCCCCCAAGGAAGTGTGAAGTTCCTCTTGAAAAGGGTGAGAGTGTTTTCTCTGCTTCCATGACCAGGGCTAAGTGGAAACATTGAATCAATATTAACCCCATCCAGTCTTCAAGGCCTTTTTATGGGTGTGTGTGTATGTGTGTGTGTGTGTGTGTGTGTATTTTCCAGAGACGTCAACCCTCTCTCTGGGATAATGAGAGAAATTTCCTAACAGAGTACTTCTCCCTCGCTCAAAGGGAGTGACATTTTGTAATGCTTTCTGAAATCAAGCCATTCTGACCCAATGACTTTTCGATGAGTTAAGGGCTAAATGAATCAGACGCGTGTGGGTTCAATTTACTTCTCAACACTTTGGCTTAAAAGCCTTCCAGAAAAAAAAAAAAAGAAAAGAAAAGCCCTTTTCTTTCTTCCTTCCTTCCTTCCCTTCCTCCCTTCCTTCATTTCTTTCCTTCCTTCCTCCTTCCTTCCTTCCGTCCTTCCGTCTTTCTTTCTTTCTTTCTTTCTTTCTTTCTTTCTTTCTTTCTTTCTTTCTTTCTTTCTTTCTTTCTGTCTTTCTTTCTTTCTGTCTTTCTTTCTTTCTTCTTTTTCTTTCTTTCGTTCGAAACGGAGTCTCACTCTGTCGCCCAGGCTGGAGTGCAGTGGTGTGATCTCGGCTCACTGCAACCTCCACCTCCTGGGTTCAAGCGACTCTCTTGCCTCAGCCTCCCGAGTAGCTGGGATGACAGGTGCCCGCCACCACATCTGGCTAATTTGTGTATATTTAGTAGAGACGAGGTTTCAGCATGTTGGTCAGGCTGGTCTCGAACTCCTGACCTCAGGGGATCCGCCCACCTCGGCCTCCCAAAGTGCTGGGATTACAGGTGTGAGCCGCCATGCCCGGCCCCTCATACCTCACCCCAATCATTTGAGAAACAGACAGAGATGTTTTGATATGCACCAGAGGCTGGAGCAGGTGACTGGGGCAAGTCCAACAGGTACTTCCCCATTGACCACGGGGGAAGAGAGAACCTTGTTTCTTAAGTGTGATGAGGAGGTTTTTTGTTTTGTTTTGTTTTGTTTTTTTGAGATGGGGTCTCGCTCTGTCACCCAGGCTGGAGTGCAGTGGCGCGATCTCAGCTCACTGCAAATTCCGCCTCCTGGATTCACGCCATTCTCCTGCCTCAGCCTCCTGAGTAGCTGGGACTACAGGCGCCTACCAGCACGCCCGGCTAATTTTTTTGTATTTTTAGTAGAGACGGGGTTTCACCGTGTTAGCCAGGATGGTCTCGATCTCCTGACCTCTTGATCCACCTGCGTCGGCCTTCCAAGTATTGATGAGGTTTTTAATGAGATTTGTGTGAAGGGTTCCTTGGAGACACTCGGTAAAGAAAACGACAAATAGTAACAGGTTGCAAAGGAGGTCTCTGCGTAACCTGGGGAGCTGCTGTCCAGGGGTACCTCGAAAGCATGAGGAGCTGCAGACAGTCCGTAGTTTCCAGCTGACCTGGGCGTGGGCATCTGTGATCTGTGTGTGGCAGGGTGTAAGCAGGCTTTGATGCCTAGACACCTTTTCTTTATTTAGCAGCTGTAACATCCAATGAACTCTGAACTGTTTATGGGCCTCCTGCTCCCCAAAGGGTACACACCCTGCTTCTGCTGGCTTCATGCCTCAGAACTGTGGTGTCGTTGGTCTCAGACACCACTTTGCCATCCACTATCCGGAGGGTGGGGGTCTTTTGGATAGTTTGCGTGGAGTTGCTGCTGTCCAGGGCATCACCAAGACTCTAACAGAGAAGACCAAGCCCCAGTTAGCGTTTGCAGGCATTCGGGGGAGAGGGTGGGGAGAGCGCAGGTCGCTGCCTGTCCCTAGAACCTCACTGTCTGTCTGAGAAGTGATTAGATTGCAGGCACGTGGAGGGTGGCGGGGATCAACTCTCTCAGGGCCTCTAATCACACGTGGCACTTGCTGTCAGCAAGACGGCTTTGGAGCGGGGACGTGGATCATTAGGGATGAACCTGCAGATCATGACAACAAATGGGGTCTTAATCTCCCAAGAAAGGGGATGTCGCCGGCTGGCTTGGGAGGCAGGGGTCCCCGAGCGCGACGGTGCTGGCTGGCCCGCCTGCATCCCATTTGCAGAGCAAGCTTCTGCGTTCAGGGCCTGGCCGGGCCATGGAAATGGCTGGGCTGTGAGCATCGTGAATTCCTGGACCCTGCTGGAAAAGGAAGCGTCTGACGTGGGCAGTGACCGTGACTCACAGAGACATGAAAAGTACAAAATGTGACCACTTGTTTATAGCTGTAACTAATTTTAGCAGAGGTCTTGGCATCTAGAAAACATACTTTTTTTTTTTTTTCCTTCGGTGAATGTGTAGTAAAGATATAAGCTTGCCCCCAAACAGATCTGGATTTTGCCTTTGAGCTCTGGGAGGTCACTCTGAAGGACTTAGGATGTCATGCCTGATAAGAATGTCATTATTTCGGCCAGGTGCAGTGGCTCACACCTGTAATCGCAGCACTTTGGGAGGCTGAGGCGGGTGGATCGCCTGAGGTCAGGAGTTTGAGACCAGCCTGGCCAACATGGTGAAACCCCGTCTCTACTGAAAATACCAAATTAGCCGAGCATGGTGGCCGGTGCCCGTAATCCAAGCGACTCGGGAGGCTGAGGCAGGAGAATCGCATGAACCCGGGAGGCTGAGGTTGCAGAGAGCCAAGATCGTGTCATTGCACTCCAGCCTGGGCAACAAGAGCAAAACTCTGTAAAAACAAACAAACAACAACAAAAAAAAAAAATAGAGAGAGAGAGAGAAGGGGCTGGGCGCAGTGGCTCATGCCTGTAATCCCAGCATATTGGGAGGCCGAGGCAGGCAGATCACCTGAGGTTAGGAGTTCGAGACCAGCCTGGCCAACATGGTGAAACCCCATCTCTACTAAAAATACAAAAATTAGCAGGGCCTGTTGGTGGACGCCTATAATCCCAGCTACTTGGGAGGCTGAGGCAGGAGAATCGCTTGAACCTGGGAGGCGGAGGTTGCAGTGAACTGAGATCACCCCATTGCACTCCAGCCTGGACGACAAGAGCGAGACTTCGTCTCAAAAAACAAAGCAACAAAACAAAACAAAACAAAAAACAAACAAAAAAACAACTGTATTGAGGTTTAATTGACATACCACGAAATGCATTCATTTTGACTATACAGTTCAATGCCTCTTAGTAAATTTGTAGAGTTGCACGACCATCACCAAATCTAATTCTGGAATATTTTTATCACCCCAGAAAAGAAATTGCATAGCTATTGTCACTCACTTGTCTTCCCTTATCCCATTTCTGCCCAGAGCCTCAGGCAACCACTCATCTCTATTCTGCCTCTATGGATTTTCCTTTTCTGCGCAATTTCTTTGCATCGAATTACACAATATGGAGTCTTTTATCCCAGACTTCTACTTAGCGTTATGTTTTTGAGGTGCATCCGTGTTGGACCATATATCGGTATGTCATTGGCTGAATAATATTCCATTGCAGGGAAAGACCACAGTGTCTTTATCTGTTCACCTGCTGAAAAGACATAGGCTGTTTACACGTCTTGGCTGTTACAAATCATGCTGCTAGGAATATTTACCTACAAGTCTTTGAGTAAACATAAGTTTTCATTTCTCTTGGGTAGACGCCCACAGGAGGAATTGCTGGATTGAATGGTGAGTTTGTGTTCAACTTTTTTTTTTTTTTTTGATGGGGTCTCACTCTGTCGCCCAGGCTGGAGTGCAGTGGCTCGATCTCAGCTCAACACAACCTCCGCCTCCAGGGTTCAAGCGATTCTCCTGCCTCATCCTCCCGAGTAGCTGGGATTACAGGCGCCCACCACCACACCCGGCTAATTTTTGTATTTTTAGTAAAGACGGGGTTTCTCCATGTTGGTCAGGCTGGTCTCGAACTCCCGACCTCAGGTGATCCACCTGCCTCGGCCTCCCAAAGTGCTGGGATGACAGGTGTGTGTGTTCCACTTTTTAAGAAACTGTCAATGTGTTTTCCAAAGTGACTATATCAGTTGACATTTCTACACACAGTGGTTCTCACAAATACTTAATAACATCTTTTTTTTTTTGTAGCCATTCCTGTGGATATGTAGTGGTATCTTGTGGTTTTAATGTCTCAAATGAGGAAGGATGTTGAGACTCAATGCTGATTCAAGATCTACATAGTAGGCCAGGAGCAGTGTCTCATGCCTGTAATCCCAGCACTTTGGGAGGCTGGGGTGGGCGGATCGCGAGGTCAGGAGATCGAGACCATCCTGGCCAACATGATGAAACCCCGTCTCTACTAAAAATACAAAAATTCAGCCGGGCATGGTGGCAGGTCCCTGTAGCCCCAGAAACTCAGGAGGCTGAGGCAGGAGAATTGCTTGAACCAGGGAGGCGGAGGTTGCAGTGAGCTGAGATTGTGCCACTGCACTCCAGCCTGGGTGACAGAGTGAGACTCCATCTCAAAAAACAAAAACGAAAACAAACAACAACAGAAAAACAAGATCTACATAGTTATAAGCCTCCATCAGAAACAAACAAACAAAAAAAACAAAGAAAACCCAAAACATCTACGTAGTTATGAGACTTGACTTTTGGAGCTGACTTTTTGGGATTAAATGACTCAGGTAAACTGGTTTATTTGTATGGCTATCTTTTCCCCCAGGGAAAGTGTTTGCTCACCTATCCCTACAACAAAATGTAAGCAGATCCAATGAATGAGGTGAATTCTTGGGGTGGATGGAAACTCATCCCATGTGGCTTTGTCATTTTGATCTCCGTGATGGGATGCGCCGTTTTGTCGAAGAGGGTAGCTGTCCATCTCCCTTCCTGGGGATCCTGGATTCATTAATTTCCTGATCACGTATTTCTTTCGTCCCTGCTCTTAATGTCCGTGCCCCAGTTTAGAGGACAGACCTGCCTGAAGGCTTTCTGTATCTCTGAACTGCACTAATCAGCTGTTCATAACTTCCATAGATGTCTATAAAATGTGCAGCTAGCAGGATTAAATGCTCTACCTTCACCGTACGACAGACAGGAGTGTTCTCACTCACCACCAGAGCCTGCGCAGATCAGTCCATTAATTAGGTGGCTGTTGCTTGTGTCCGAGATTATTTTCTGCTTATATAGAGGTTTCCCTGGCTGCATCAGCTGACTAGTTTTCCGAACAGATTTCAGCCATTCTTATTTATTTCCTCAGGCAAAGAAAATGTAAGCTTTTTAAGAGAAAATACTTACCCTACTTTTAATGATAAATAAGACAAGAAGAGTTTTCTCCTGTTTAAAAATTCCCTATATGACAAAATACACAGTTAAACTTTGTATGGCTTAAAAATAGCTTGCCCTATCGCTCCATAAACCAGGAAATATGGAATTCTTGGATGGCCCTAAAGAAATTTGGTGAGGAATCCAAGCCTTTTAAAAACTAGATAGGCACAATCTAGACACACATATTCAATGACAGGTTTTTTTCTTACGTATCTGCCCATTCATCTGCCCATCTATCTCTTCGTCCATTAATCTTTCCATACATCATTCCACCCACCCATTCATCCATTCACCCATCCATCCACCCACTCACCCATCTGCTCATTTATCTACCCATCTATATATCCATCCATCCATCCATCCACCTACCCACTCATCCATCCATTTATCCATTATCCATCCAACCTTCCAATCATCTATCCATGCATCCTTCCATCCACCCATCCATCCATCCATCTACTCATTCATTCATTTATCCATTATTCATTCATCTGTTCATTAATCTATCTATCCATCCATCCACCCATCCATCCAAACTTTCATCCATCCATCCATCCATCCATCCATCCATCCACCTACTGAGAACATCCATCCATTTATCCATTATGCATTCAACCTTCCATCCACCCATCCATCTACTCATTCATTCATTTATCCATGATTCATTCATCTGTTCATTCATCTATCCATCCACCCACCCATCCATCCAACCTTCCTTCCCTTCATCCATCCATCCACCCACCCATCTACCCATCGATTCATTCATCCACCCAGCCACTCATCTGTTTATTCATCTATCCATCCATTCACCCACCCATCCATCTGTCCATCCATCCATCCATCCAACCATTCACCCATCTTCCCATTTATCTACCCATCTATCCATCCATGCATCCATCCATCCATGCATGCATGCATCCATCCATCCATCCCTCCATCCATCCATCCATCGACCTACCCACTCATCCATCCATTCATCCATTATGCATCCAACCTTCCAATCATCCATCTATCTATGCATCCATCCATCCATCCATCCACTCATTCATTCATCTATCCATTATTCATTCATCTATCTATCCATCCGTCCACTCATCCATCCAGCCTTCCATCCCTTCTTCCATCCATCCACCCACCCATCTACCCATCGATTCATTCATCCACCCAGCCACTCATCTATTTATCTATCAATCCATCCATCCATCCATCCATCCACCCACCCACTCACCCATCTGCCCATTTATCTACCCATCTTCCCATCCATCCATCCTTCCATCCATCCATCCATCCACCCACTCATCCATCCATCCATCCACCTACCCACTCATCCATCCATTTATCCATTATCCATCCAACCTTCCAATCATCCGTCTATCTATGCATCCTTCCATCCATCCATCCATCTACTTATTCATTCATCTATCCATTATTCATTCATCTGTTTGTTCATCCATCCATCCATCCATCCATCCATCCAACATTCCATCCATTCATCCATCCACCCACTCATGTATTTATTTATCTATCCATCCATTAACCCACCCATCCATCTATCTATTCATCCATCCATCCATCCATCCATCCATCCATCCATCCAACGTTCCATCCATTCATCCATCCACCCACTCATGTATTTATTTATCTATCCATCCATTAACCCACCCATCCATCTATCCATCCATCCATCCATCCATCCATCCAATCATCCATCTATCCGTCCATCCATTCACTCATGCATCCATCCAATCATCCATTCATCCATCTACCTACCCAATCATCCATCCATTCATCTGTTATCTATCCAACCTACCAATCATCCATCTATCTATGCATCCATCCATCCATCCACCCTCCCATCTATCCATATATCCATTCATCCATCAATCCAACCACTCATTCTTCCATCTATCCATTTTTCATTCTTCTATTCATTCATCCATCCATCCATCCACTCATCTATTCAGTCATCCATTCACCCACCCATCTATCCATCCATTCATCCATCCATCCATTCATTCATCCACACAGCCACTCATCTATTTACTTATCTATCCATCCATCCACCCACCCATCCATCGATCTATCCATCCACCCATCCGTCTATCCACTCATCCATCCATCCATTGATCCATTCACCTACCCATTCATCTATCCATCCATGCATCCATCCATCCAATCATCCATCTATCCATTCATCCAGCCACCTCAATAAGTTGAAGACTATCTGCCCCTTCCTGCAAAAACCTTATAATTTTTTGAAATAAAAGAGTAAGATCAAGGGTCACCAACATACAATCTTCCCATTTGTTCCCAGGGTACAGCCACACTCTTGCGTTTTTGCATGATCTCTTCTAGGTGAATACTTCTCTCTCTTCCTTCCTCTCTCTCTCTCTTCTTTCTTTCTTCCTTCCTCTCTCTCTCTCTCCTTTCTTTCTTTCTCTCTTTCTCTCTTTCTTTCTTTCTTTCTTCTTTCTTACTCTTTCTTTCTTTCTGTTTCTGTCTTTCTTTTTCTCTCTTCCTTTCCTTCTTTCTTTCTTCTTTCTTACTCTTTCTTTCTTTCTGTTTCTTTTTTTCTTTTTCTCTCTTCCTTTTCTTCCTTCTTTCTTTCTTCTTTCTCTTTCTTTCTTTATTTCTTTCTTCTTTCTCTTTCTCTCTTTCTTTTTCTTTCTCTTTCTCTCTCTCTTTCTCTCTTTCTTTCTTTCTTTTTTTTTCTTTCTTCTCTCGTCCTTTCCTTCTTTCCTTCTTTCCTGTCTCTCTCTCCCTTTCCCTCCTTCCTTCCTTGCACATACACACAATCAGGCATAAAACATGCACAAACACACAGAAACACACACAAACGTGCACAAATACACACATATAAACAAATATACACAAACAGACGTGCAGAAACACACATGCATGCACAATCATGCAAACAGACACACACAGACACACATATGAGCATGCGGAAACAGACATACATGCACAAATACACACAGACAAACATGCACAAACACACACATGCTCAGATACACAAAAAAAACCATGCACAGATACAGACATTCACAAATAAACTCACAAACATGCACAGATACACACAGTCATGCACACAAACATGCACAAATACACATAAACATACAGACACACAGACGAACATGCACACATATGAATGCACAAATACACGTACACACACACACAAAAAGCACAAATACATGCACACAAACACATAAAAACACACAAACACACACGTGCAGAGGAAATATTGTCTATATTACAGGCAGCTACTGCCATGGCCAGCTAATTTTTTGTATTTTTAGCAGAGATGGGGTTTTGCCCTGTTGGCCAGGCTGGTCTCAAACTCCAGACCTCAGGTGATCCGCCTGCCTCAGCCTCGCAAAGTGCTGGGATGACAGGCATGAGCCACCACACCCGGCCTGTGGTGTGATTTTTTTTTTTCTTTTTTTGAGAAGGAATTCCACTCTTGTTGCCCAGGCTGTAGTGCAATGGTGCGACGTCAGCTTACTGCAACCTCTGCCTCCCGGGTTCACACCATTCTCCTGCCTCAGCCTCCCGAGTAGCTGGGATTACAGGCAGCTACCACCATGCCCGGCTAGTTTTTTGTATTTTTAGTAGAGACGGGGTTTCACCATGTTGGCCAGGCTGATCTCGAACTCCTGACCTCAGGTGATCCACCTGCCTCAGCCTCCCAAAGTGCTGGGATGACAGGTGTGAGCCACCGCACTCGGCCTGCGGTGTGATTTTTTATGTACCCAAACATACTGGCATTGCTGCCGGGACGGTCGACTGCCTGAGATTTCAATGCGTTTGTCGTTCGGATCTGCAAGGGCGATGAAAGTTTTAAAGTCCCCACGTGCTCAGGTGTCCTGTGGGTTGAGGTTCTTTACAGACAGGTTTCCACTCCCTTTGCTCCCAGATCTGAGCCTCTGCTGAAGACAATGCCTCATCTTCGATGGGAAAAAGGCACAAGTCTTTGGCGATTCCCTTTTTCGTTCTCATACGTAGAAACCCCACTGTCTTCTTCACGGCCAGTGACTCTGTCGAATGTCCCAAGTCAACCGGGGAGAAAACCCCAAATTATGAAACAATTAAAAAAAAAATAGTCGTTCGATTTTTTTTTCTTTCCCCCGTAACGTCGTTAGTAGCCCCATGGACTTGAGGTTGCCTTGGGCCAGAAGTTACGTTTCTCATTAATATACATCAGCTGTTCTCTGTTTCTTTTTTTTTTCATACCGACCGTGGTAGCCAGGCACCTGTCCCCCTTTTGTTCCTCGATAGAGCGTGTCTGAACGTAAAAGAAAAATTGTCACTTCTCATTACGTGAACTAAGGGTACGAGAATTGATGGGCCTTTCTACCTAATGCTGTTATCCGAACCAGGTTTGTTTATTTAATGAACAAAATGTCACATCAAATCTGTCTTCCCCTGACGTCTGAACCCCTGGCAGCTGCTGGTGGCAGGGTTTCCTGAAATGGGGAGGTGGAGGGGGGCTAGCTGGATTAACTAATTTAATTTGCATGTGATTCAAAAGTTAAAGCAAAGACTCACACCTCCTCTGACGGAACAAATTCTCTTATTATTATTACTATTGTTTTTTTTTTTTCAGATGGAGACTTCCTCTGTCCCCCAGGCTGGAGTGCAGTGGTGCAATCTCGGCTCACTGCAACCTCCGCCTCCCGGGTTCAAGCGATTCTCCTGCCTCAGCTTCCCAAGTAGCTGGGATGACAGGTTCCTGCCACCATGCCTGGGTAATTTTGGAATTTTTAGTAGAGACGGGGTTTCACCATGTTGGTCAGGCTGGTCTCGAACTCCTGATCTCAGGCTGGAGTGCAGTGGCATGATGTCGACTCACCGCAATCTCTGCCTCCCAGGTTGAATCGGTTCTCCTGCCTCAGCCTCCCAAGTAGCTGGGATTACAGGCACCCGCCACCAGGCCAGGCAAATGCTTGTATTTTTAGTAGAGACGTTTCACCGTGTTGGTCAGGCTGGTCTCGAACTCCTGACCTCAGGCTGGAGTGCAGTGGCGTGATCTCAACTCACTGCAACCTCTGCCTCCCAGGTTGAATCGATTCTCCTGCCTCAGCCTCCCAAGTAGCTGGGATTACAGGTGCCTGCCACCAGGCCAGGCAAATGTTTGTATTTTTAGTAGAGACAGGGTTTCACCATGTTGGTCAGGCTGGTCTCGAACTCCTGACCTCAGGTGATCCTCCCGCCTTGGCCTCCCAAAGTGCTAGGGTGACAGGCGTGAACCACCATGCCAAGCTGTTATTATTATTTTTTAAAGCACATGTCCAAGGGCCATTGTATGGTGAGATTCCAGATGTTGGATGGCAAGAAGGAGGAGTCCTGACCCGGATTGGTCAACATCAGGGAAACCACAGCCCGTTTAGATGGAAGATTGAAAGTTCCGTCATGCCGTGTGAGCTTCCCACAACCGAGATACAGATACATAATCTCCCTGGGAACGTATCAAACTGTCGGGGCACCAGGAGCCTCTGCCTTCTCTTCGGCTGCCAATTTCAGGGACGAGGACCGCAGCCAGGTCAGAAGCACGGTTTGCAGGGGTGACAGCTTGTCACTTGCAGAGTTACGCAGTCTAAGCCACTTCATAAATGCAAGGTGCCGACGTGTTGGAAAGGCTGGAGTCCCGGGGTGGAAACACGTATGTCGGGGGCCAGGTGTGTCCCTGGGGGAACAGCCCACGCGTATCGGATGCCAGGTCTCCGCCCACCCCGGAGCCAGCTCCGCTTGGACTGGCCAGCTTGGGTCTGCTCTGGAGAGGGGACGTATGGAGAAGCTGCTCTGGAGAGGGGATATATGGGGAGGCTGCTCTGGAGAGGGGATGTATGGAGAGGGGACGTATGGAGAAGCTGCTCTGGAGAGGGGACGTATGGGGAGGCTGCTCTGGAGAGGGGACATATGGAGAGGCTGCTCTGGAGAGGGGATATATGGGGAGGCTGCTCTGGAGAGGGGACATATGGAGAGGCTGCTCTGGAGAGGGCATGTATGGAGAGGCTGCTCTGGAGAGGGACATACGGAGAAGGTGCTCTAGAGAGGGGACGTATGGAGAAGGTGCTGTAGAGAGGGGATATATGGAGAGGCTGCTCTGGAGAGGGGACATATGGGGAGGCTGCTCTGGAGAGGGGATATATGGGGAGGCTGCTCTGGAGAGGGGATATATGGGGAGGCTGCTCTGGAGAGGGGACATATGGAGAGGCTGCTCTGGAGAGGGGACATATGGAGAGGCTGCTCTGGAGAGGGGACGTATGGGGAGGCTGCTCTGGAGAGGGGATATATGGGGAGGCTGTTCTGGAGAGGGGACGTATGGAGAGGCTGCTCTGGAGAGGGGATATATGGGGAGGCTGCTCTGGAGAGGGGACGTATGGAGAGGCTGCTCTGGAGAGGGCATGTATGGAGAGGCTGCTCTGGAGAGGGGACATATGGAGAGGCTGCTCTGGAGAGGGGATGTATGGAGAGGGGACGTATGGAGAAGCTGCTCTGGAGAGGGGACGTATGGGGAGGCTGCTCTGGAGAGGGGACATATGGAGAGGCTGCTCTGGAGAGGGGATATATGGGGAGGCTGCTCTGGAGAGGGGACATATGGAGAGGCTGCTCTGGAGAGGGCATGTATGGAGAGGCTGCTCTGGAGAGGGGACATATGGAGAGGCTGCTCTGGAGAGGGGACGTATGGGGAGGCTGCTCTGGAGAGGGGACGTATGGGGAGGCTGCTCTGGAGAGGGGATATATGGGGAGGCTGTTCTGGAGAGGGGACGTATGGAGAGGCTGCTCTGGAGAGGGGATGTATGGAGAGAGGGGATGTATGGAGAGAGGGGATTTATGGAGAGGTCCCACACCAGGCTCCATCCAAGGAAGGGAGAAGCATTTTCACCCAGGCCCTGTTTACGCTTCGCCGCGCTGTCCTCTGTCACGCACCGTGGCCGAGACCACAGCTGAACGTCCAGAGGCTGCAGAGAAAAACAGAAGCTGGCTCTGTGTGTGTGTGTGTGTGTGTGTGTGTGACATGACAGCCGGGCCTCTGAAGCGCGCCGTGGAAGACGCAGTTGTGAGGATATACGTGGCAATTAAAAATAATTGGCAAGCAGGTCTCGTTCAGCCCTTCGGAGAATGCAGCGACCATATAATGATGTTTCATTAGCCATGCTGTACACTGCACGCTCCGTATGGCACTCACAATTAAACAGCCTCATAAAGGAGAGAAGGAGGGAAGAGAGAAACATGAAAAAACCCAAAATACCCCAGCTCAGATTAGCATTGCATGTAATCGGCACTTCATTAGCTAATTGATTTCTTATTAGTTACAGGCAGTGGCCCAGCTAGGGCTTCTGCACACGTCATTAGCTGCATTTACACCGTTATGCGGATGCTCGTTTTGTAGCTAAACATTCCTGGAATCAAGGGTGCCTCTGTTGCTTACGGCAATTGCACTCACTTTATTTTATGTTTTCTTGCTAATGTTGGCTTAACCTCCAAATCAAAAATTCTCTCCCCCTGGAGTGGGGGGGAGCCTCACCAGATTTAATCACAACGTTCAACACAGAGAAACAGGCCACGTCATCCGATCTGAGCTCAGCTACGTCTTGTTTGCTGTGTTTTATTTTCAGCTTGTTTTATGGCTCGCCGGAAAAAGCCAGCCGTCTTCCCCGGGGACAGTCATCTCTGGACAGGGTGCATGTCCCCCCTCACGACGTCCAATGTCACCACGGCTGCATGTCGCACCTTGCAGATGGACAGCTGTAGGCCTGACCACACCTGTCTTTAAATGCTTCTTGGGGTGGTGGGGGGAGGGGGAAGTTTGCAGAGGTCTGAAATTCACAGGTAACCGTCTCTCTCCATGGCACAGAAATGGATTGCGAACTGGCGTCGGCCACGGAGAGGCTGCTTGGACCTCAGTGTAGGATTACTTTTGGTTATACGATATTTTATAAGCATATATAATTTGGTTTTCTGATTTTGGGTTTTTTGTTTTATTTATTTATTATTTATTTATATATGATTTATTATTTATTTGATTATTTATTTATTATCTTATTTACTTATTTATTTATTTAATTTTTTTTTCTGAGACGGAGTCTCGCTCTGTCGCCCAGGCTGGAGTGCGGTGGCGCGATCTCGGCTCACTGCAAGCTCCGCCTCTCGGGTTCACGCCATTCTCCTGCCTCAGCCTCCCGAGTAGCTGGGACTACAGGTGCCCGCCACCACGCCCGGCTAATGTTTGTATTTTTAGTAGAGACGGGGTTTCACCGTGTTGGCCAGGCTGGTCTCGATCTCCTGACCTCAGGTCATCCGCCCGCCTCGGCCTCCCAAAGTGCTGGGATTACAGGCATGAGCCACCATGCTGGGCCTGTTCCTTTTGTTTTTATTTTTTCTAGAGATGGGGGTCTTGCTGTGTTGCCCAGGCTGGTCTTGAACTCCTGGCCTCGAGCCATCCTCCCACCTCAGCCTCCCAAAGTGTTGGGATGGTGGGCACGAGACACCATGCCCGGCCCCAGATGATGTTTTAAAATGACTTCTGTGGGTGGCTTATCCAGAAGGAGTTTGAATTTTAGGGAAGCAGAACCCTAGGCCAACTCTGATTCAAAGATTAGACGATTGCCTTTTGTTGTTTTTTTTAAGACGGAGTCTCGCTGTGTCGCCCAGGCCGGAGTGCAGTGGCACCATCTCGGCTCACTGCAAGCTCCGCCTCTGGGGTTCACACCATTCTCCTGCCTCAGCATCCCGAGTAGCTGGGACTACAGGCACCCGCCACCTCGCCCGGCTAATTGTTTGTATTTTTAGTAGAGACAGGGTTTCACCGTGTTAGCCGGGATGGTCTCGATCTCCTGACCTCATGATCCACCAGCCTCGGCCTCCCAAAGTGCTGGGATGCCAGGCGTTAGCCACCGCGCCCGGCCGCCTTCTATTGTTTTAAATTTTGCAGAATCTCAGTCATGGGAGGCCACCCTCTTTGTGGGGGTGATCGAGGGTGTTTGCTGTATGGACGAAGGTGTGGATGAAAATGTTTCCATTTGAAGACACTCACGGACAGTCAATGGGCTGAATTCTGCCCCCCGCCTCACAAGACTCATGTATTGACAACCTAACGTCGAGGCCGGGCGCGGTGGCTCAAGCCTATAATCCCAGCACTTTGGGAGGCTGAGGCAGGCGGATCACAAGGTCAGGAGTTCAAGACCAGCCTGGCCAAGATGGTGAAACCCTGTCTCTACTAAAAATACAAAATTAGCCCGGCGTGGTGGCTCACGCCTGTCATCCCAGCACTTTGGGAGGCCGAGGCGGGTGGATCACCTGAGGTCAGGAGTTGGAGACCAGCCTAATCAACATGGAGGAACTGCATCTCTACTAAAAATACAAAAATTAGCCAGGCGTGGTGGCGGGCGCCTGTAATCCCAGCTACTCAGGAGGCTGGGGCAGGAGAGTTGCTTGAACCTGGGAGATGGAGGTTGCAGTGAGGTGAGATCGCACAATTGCAGTCCAGCCTGAGAAATAAGGGCGAAACTCCCTCTTAAAAAAAAAAAAAAAAAAACCCACAAAAAACAGACATCAGCAGGCCAGAACTAGAAGTCCATTCGTAAACAGCATAGCATGTTAAAATAATTCCAGCCTGGACCACATGGCAAAACCCCGTCTCTACTAAAAATGCAGACAATTAGAAGGATGTGGTGGCTCGTGCCTGTAATCCCAGCTACTCTGGAGGCTGAGGCAGGAGAGTCGCTTGAACCTGGCAGACGGAGGTTGCAGTGAGGCGAGATCACGCCATTGCGGTCCAGCCTGGGCAACGAGTACGAAACTCTGTCTAAAAAATAAAAAAATAAAAAAAAGCAGACATCAGCAGGCCAGAACTAGAAGTCAGTCCTGAAAGAGGCCCTCAGCAAAAAACATCAACTAGTAGCAGTAAGGGATAGGCAGAATCTATAAAACAGAATTTTATAAAGTAACTCACTGCACTCAGATAAAACGCGCTGTAACAAAAATGTCACTAATTTATATTAACTATGAATAACACCATTCTCCACGACTGAACAGCAGGTATTACAGAACGTTACAAAAATACGCTTACTTTCCATGAGTATGATATTGGATACTTCCAAAGTTTTGATGAATAGTGCTTGGGTGGAAAATCTGATTATTTGATAGACAATCACAATTAATCTCACATTTTCAGATGCAAAAAAAAAAAAAGTGCTTCTAAGCTACGGAAAGTCTTGCTTTCTTAAGTAATTCCAGCTTCTCTCCTGAAATCTTTACACAGTTAATTTACTCAGTCTTTGGTTAATAGCCTGTGCTAAGATAAATTTCTGCGTAAATTCTGAATTTATGAGATCCCAAGTAATGAAGTTTTATTGAAGAGACATCCCGTTCCTGATATAATTTTAATGTCATCATCATCAATTATGTTCCTAGTCCAATAGCCCTAACCTTGCAAAATTTATTTCCATCAAACGAACAAAAGTCACACACACACAAACACACACACACACACAGAGGATTCATTAAGAGCGGCAAAGATAAAATCATTACCACATCCATCTTGAGAAGTTGAGCTGATGTGTGTATTCTTCAAGGATCACATCTATTTTTTATTTTATTTTATTTTATTTTATTTTATTTTATTTTATTTTATTTTATTATTTTATTTTATTTTATTTTATTTCACTTTATTTTATTTTTATTTTTTGAGACGGAGTTCGCTCTTATTACCCAGGCTGGAGTGCAGTGGCATCATCTCGGCTCAGTGCAACCTCCGCCTCCCGGGTTCAAGCGACTCTCCTGCCTCAGCCTCTCGAGTAGCTGGGATTACAGGCACCCGCCACCACACCCAGCTAATTTTATATTTTTAGTAGAGATGGGGTTTCACCATGTTGGCCAGGCTGGTCTCCAACCTCTGACCTCAGGTGATCCACCCGCCTCGGACTCCCAAAGTGCTGGGATGACAGGCGTGAGCCACTGTGCCTGGCTGATCATATGTATTTTTAAAGACGGGGAAATAAAGCCAGCATTGCTCCTGATTTCCTTCCCTGGTCTTTGTCCCCTCCCAGAAGATAAGAAGACACTTTAAATCCTCTCAGCCTTCCTTGTCTACTACAGACTTGCTAACGCACAGAGAAGACAGCCCTGCATCTTAATGGTTGTCATCCTCTTTCATCCAGCTCCTGGCCAGTCCTTGGAAACGCCTGCCGGCCACACTACAGTCTTGCCATATTGCCCCCAAATGAGCTTATTTTTACTTATTTATTTATTTATTTTTGAGACAGACTTCTCACTCTGTCGCCAGGCTGGAGTGCAGTGGCATGATGTCAGCTCACTGCAACCTCCGCCTCCCGGGTTCAAGCGACTCTCCTTGCCTCAGCCTCCTGAGTAGCTGGGATTACAGGCGCCAGCCACCACGCCCAGCTAATTTTTGTATTTTTAGTAGAGACGGGGTTTCACCATGTTGATTAGGCTGGTCTCAAACTCCTGACATCAGGTGGTCCACCTGCCTCGGTCTCCCAAAGTGCTGGGATTATACGCGTGAGCCACTGTGCACGGCCAATCTGTGTAATCTATCATCTCTCTCTCTCTCTTATTTATTTATTTAGAGACAGAGTTTTGCTCTTGTTACCCAGGCTGGAGTGCAGTGGCATGATGTCAACTCACTGCAACCTCCGCCTCCGGGTTCAAGCCATTCTCCTGCTTCAGCCTCCTGAGTAGCTGGGATTACAGGCACCAGCAACCAAGCCCGGCTAATTTTTCTAGTTTTAGTAGAGATGGGGTTTCACCATGCTGGCCAGGCTGGTCTTGAACTCCTGACCTCAGGTGATCCACCCGCCTCGGCCTCCCAAAGTGCTGGGATTATAGGCGTGAGCCAACGCACCCGGCCTGATTTTGTATTTTTAGTAGAGATGGGGTTTCACCACGCTGGCCAGGCTGGTCTTGAACTCCTGACCTCAGTTGATCCACCCACCTCAGCCTCCCAAAGTGAGATTCCAGGCGTGAGCCACCGTGCCTGACCTATGCTGTCTTTTCATTTGCATTTTTTTTTTTTGAGATGGAATTTCGCTCTTGTTGCCCAGGCTGGAGTGCAGTGGCGCAATCTCGGCTCACTGCAACCTCCGCCTCCCGGGTTCAAGCGGTTCTCCTGCCTCAGCCTCCCAACTAGCTGGGATGACAGGCATGCACCACCATGCCCGGCTAATTTTGTATTTTTAGTAGACACAGGGTTTCAACATGTTGACCTGGCCTGGATACCACTTTTAATTTTACCTTGCTCTGAATAGTTTCGTATTCCTCTGACTATGTGGAAGCTTTGTTCTGGGATTCTGTGAAGTCACTTGGAGGTAGTTTGAACCCTTCAGGTCTTGGTTTCATTCTGTTGGAATGAAGAGTAATGTTTAATTCGGGATTAATTTGTCCAAGCTACTGAGGAAAGGTCCTCCTCACTATCCTACCTAACGCCCCATGAACTATGGAAGTTTTCCAATCTAGAAGGTCAGAACAGGCACCTTTTGAACATTGTGTGAACGCTGGTCACTATTCCCTGTTTCCATGTGTCATTTCTGTTGGTTCTTTCCCTCACCTTGAATAATTTCCTCATAGACACATGTCAATCAGTTCTCAGCCCAACGCTCTCTAGGTGGACCTTCTGCAGAAGGTCTCTATGCTTCTTTCTCCACGTGGATCTCTCATATCTGCTACTCTGTCCTGTGAACTCTTCCTGCCTTGGTCTCCCCAGACTCTCAGCTCCACCTTCTCAACACAAGAGGCCTTCCAGTTTCCATCTGTGTTGTGCCTCCTTGTACTGCCGCCTATAAAATCTCTCAGGCAGTAAGCCGGGAGATCATAGGGCTCACTGCATTACTTTTCCATCTCTCAGAGATCATTGTCTTTCATTGCTTCATGTCCAGGGTCTTGAACGCCATCATTTCATGTATTATGCCCAGTGGAAGATAATTCTGATCTCTGTTACTTCATGTTGGTCAAAACCAGAAGCCTGCATCTATCTATCTACCATTCTATCTTTCGGTCTATCTACCTACCTACCGACCTATCTACCAGTCATCTTATCTATCATATTCTCTATCTACCTATTATCCACCTACCTATCTACCTACCTAACAACCATCTTTCTACCATATTCTCTGTCTACCTATCCATCCATCCATCTACCTACCAATCATCTTTATCTATCACATTATCTATCTATCTATTCATCTATGTATCTATCTACCTACCTAGCTAACTATCTTCCAATCATCTTATCTGTCATATTCTCTTATCTACCTATTATCCATCTACCTATCTACCTACCTACCAATAATCTTTCTACCTATGTATCATATTCTCTATATCTATCTATCTACCTGTCTATCATATACCTACCTATCTATCTACCAGTCATCTTATCTATCCATCATATTATCTGTCTACCTATTTATCTATCCATCTATGTATCAATCATCTTTATCTATCATATTATCTATCATCTATCATGTATCAATATATCATCTGTCATCTATCTATCTATCTATCTATTTTCTCTCATCTTCTCTATCTTATTCTCTATCTACCTATCTCTCTACCTACCAATCAGCTTATCTATCAACCATATTATCTATTATCTATCTATCTATCTATCTATCTATCTATCTATCTATCTATATCTACCTATCTATCTATCATCTTCTCTATCATATTCTGTATCTACCTGTCTCTCTACCTACCAATCGGCTTATCTATCAACCATATTATCTATCTATCTATCTATCTATCTATCTACCTATCTATCATCTTCTCTATCGTATTCTGTATCTACCTGTCTCTCTACCTACCAATCAGCTTATCTATCAACCATATTCTCTATCTATCTATCTATCTATCTATCTATCTATCTATCTATCTATTATCTTATCTATCTATTATCTGTCTATCTACTTGTCTTCCTATCTATCTGAAACTCTATGTTTAAAACTCTGACTTCTAAAAACATTATAATAGACATTATTAATGAACACCTATTGTATGCCAGCCTTTGCTTATCTTATTTCTTTTTCTTCATGCCTGTTTTGAAAGATAGATATTATCCCTGTTTTGCAAAGTGATGTTCAGAAATAAATGGTTTGACAAGAGTCACATTAGCCAATAAACCCTTCAGCCTGGTTCAGTCTTGAAGCTTTCTGAGGATGAAGATAGCTTTACTACACCATTGGTTTACCAAGTAGGGATGATGTGAGGGTGTTTGTTTGTTTGTTTGTTTGAGACAGAGTCTCACTCTGTCACCGCAGGCTGGGGTGCAGTGGCGCGATCTCGGCTCATGCAACTTCCACCTCCCAGGTTCAAGCAATTCTCCTGCTTCAGCCTCCCAAGTAGCTGGGATTACAGGAACTCACCACCATGCCTGGCTAATTTTTGTGTTTTTAGTAGAGACGGGGTTTCACCACGTTGGCCAGGCTGGTCTCAAACTCCTGACCTTAGGTGATCCACCCACCTCGGCCTCCCAAATTGCTGGGATTACAGGCATGAGCCACCGCGCCCGACCGAGGGTTCGTGTTTAAAATGCAGATTCCCTTAGACGTTGGTGTGCCTGCACGTGCGTGTGACTATAAAGAAACAGAATGAGAAAAATTGGGGGAGGCGATAGAACTATTCTGTATCTCGAACATGATGCCATTTACATGTTTCAAAAATGTGTTCAAGTTCATCGAACTGCATATCATGAAAATCAATTTTATAGTATGATAATTTAAAATGTAATTTTTTTGAAAATGTAAAAAACAAAAAAAGCAGATTCCTAAATCCTATTCCAACCCTACTGAAACATAATCTCTCTTTTAAACAAGATGCCACATAACGGACACACTTCCCGAGAATGTAAAGTCTTATTCTGCATTCATCAGAAGGTGAATGTCTACAAGGCCTATTTTATTGAATTTTTTTTTTGTTACCTGCATGCATTCTTTCCATCTTCAGCGAAAGATGCAAAACGTATATTTGTAAATTAACTTTCCTGAAACTCCCCTCTCCCCACCATTGTTTCCCCGCTAAGTGCGATTTTTATCCACAGTGATCCTTCCATGGTTTTTGCCAAGTGGCAGCGTTTTGATCAAAAGGACGCCTTTCATGTCAAATAAATAAACCATCGCGTCTCACGGTTGTCCAGATTCCTGCTCGGTTTTTACAAAGCTTCTTTCAACTGGTGCCTGCAAGCCTTTCTCCGGGCATTTTCTTTCTACAACGGGTTGGATGTACACGGATCAAACTGAAAGGAGAGGGAGGAGGAAGCGTGCGTGATGAGCCAGGAAAGATGCTTTAGGTATGTGACTGTTAGAGCCCGGTGACATGAGGTGATACAGAGTCTGTGACTGCACTGTGCCAACGCCCTCGTGAAAATCAATATTCCTGTAACTGATTCTGCAACTTGGAATGACGTGTTTTCAATTAAGGCACTGTTGACATTGGGGGCCAGGTAATTCTCCGTGGTGGGAGCTGTCCTATATACTGTAGGATACTCAGCAGCGTCCCTGAGCTCTACCCACTAGAAGCTAGTAGTATCTGTCACCTCCTCCCTGGTCGTGATAACCAGAAATGTCTTCAGTCATTGCACAGTGTCCCCCATGGGGCAGAATTCCGACTCAAATTATTATTATTATTATTTTTGAGGCAGAGTCTTGCTCTGTCACCCAGGCTGGAGTGCAGTGGCACAATCTCTGCTCACTGCAACCTCCGCCTCCCAGGTTCATGACATTCTCCTGCCTCAGCCTCCTGAGTAGCTGGGTTTACAGGCGCCTGCCACCATGCCCAGCTAATTTTTTGTATTTTTAGAAGAGACAGGGTTTCACCCTGTTAACCAGGGTGGTCTCGATCTCCTGACCTCGTGATCTGCCCACCTCAGCCTCCCAAAGTGCTGGGATTACAGGCGTGAGTCACCACGCTCGGCCTCGGACTCAAATTTTTCTCCACTCTTCTCATGTCCAGAGAAGACAGCAAAGGCATAATTTGTATTAACTTTGAGATTACCAATAAATTTTGGTGAATAAGCAAATTTGCAAATACAGAGTCTGTCCACAATGAGGAAGTACTGTACCCATGAAGACTACAGGGCCCTAAAAAATTGCTATGCAATGGGATCCCTAATATTGCTCTCTCAGGTGAGTAGGAGCTGCCCCCATTGTGGTCTGAATGTAGGGCTCTTTCCCAAATTCTTATGTTGAACTCTTCATCCCCAAGATGATGACGTTAAGAAGTGGGGCCTTTGGGGGGTGATGAGGTCATGAGAGCGGAGCCTTCTGAATGGGATTAGTGCCCTTATAAAAGGGATCCTAGAGAGCTCACTTGTCCCTTCCACCGTGTGAGGACACACCAAGAAGTCGCCGTCTATGAAACAGGATAGGTAGGTGGGTGGATGGATGAGTGAATGGATGGATGGAAGAGTGGACAAATGGATGGATGATGGATGGGTGAGTGGGTGGATTAATTGTTGTATAGATGGATAGATGGTTGGATGGATAGACGGATGAGCAGATGAATGGATGGATGAATGGATGAGTGGATGGGTGGATGGAAGAGTGGACAGATGGATGGGTGAGTGGGTGGATTAATGGTTACATAGATGGCTGGATGGGCTGACGGATGCATGATGGATAAGCAGATGAGTGGATGGATGAATGAATGGGTGAATGGATGGATGGGTGGGTGGGTGGATGGAAGAGTGGACAGATGGATGGGTGAGTGGGTGGACTAAAGGTTGTATAGATGGCTAGATGGACAGATGGATGAGCAGATGAGTGGATGGATGAATGGATGGATGAATGGATGGAGGGATGGATGGATGGATAGATGGATGGAAGTGTGGACAGACGGATGGGTGAGTGGGTGGATTAATGATTGTATAGATGGCTGGATGGGTAGATGGATGCATGATGGATGAGTAGATGAATAGACGGATGAATGGATGGGTGGATGGATGGATGGAAGAGTGGACAGATGGATGAGTGAGTGGGTAGATTAATGGTTGTATAGATGGTTGGATGGATAGATGGATGCATGATGGATGAGCAGATGCGTGGATGGATGGAATGATGGGTGGATGGGTGTATGCATGGATGGATAGATGGATAGCTGGATGAGTGGATGGATGGATGGGTGGATTAATGGTTGTATAGATGGCTGGATGGGTAGATGGATGTATGATGGATAAGCAGATGACTGGATGGATGGATGGGTGGATGGGTGTATGGATGGATGGATGGGTGGATGGATAGCTGGATGGGTGGATGGATGGGTGAATTAATGGATGATGGATGATGGATGAGTGAATGGGTAGATGGGTGGGTGGATAGATGATAAATGGGAATGGGTGGATGGATGGGTGGTAGATAGATTGATGAGTGGATAGATGGATACATGATAGATGGGTGGATGGGTGGATCAATGGGCAGATAGATGGATGAGTGGATAGGTGTATAGATGGGTGTAGGGGTAGAGGAATGGATTGATGATGGATGGGATGATGGATGGATAATGAATGAGTGGATGGGTGGATGGATGAATGGGTGAATGAGTGGATGGATGGGTGGATGAGTGGATCAATGGGCAGGTGGATGAGTGGATGAAAGGTTAGATGAGTGGATGGATGGGTGTATGAGTAGATAGATGGATGAATGATGAATGATTGGATAGATGGATGGGTGGGTGGATGCATGGATGGATGGATGGGTATATGAGTAGATGGATGGATGGTGGATGGATAAATGGATGGATGATGGATGAGTTAATGGGTGGATAGATGGATGGACAGATGGGTGGATGCATGGATGGATGGGTGGATGGATGGATGGGTGGGTAGGTGGATGGATGGATAGGTGGGTAGGTGAATGAGTGGATGGCTGGGTGGATAAATGAGTGGATGGATGAATGGGTGGACAGATAAGTGGATGGGTCGATTAGTAAATGGATGTATGGATGGACGGATGTGTTTGTGAATGGAAAGATGGATGAATGGATAAGTAGGTGGGTGGATGGTTGTATGAATGAATAGGTGGATGCATAGGTGAATGGATGAATGAACAGGTGGATGGGTATGTGGATGAACGAGAGATAGATGAGTAGATAAGTCCAGACATGATTTTTACTCTATGTGTTCCTGTTTACTTTGCCTTTGCCTCGTCGTCTTCCAAGACAATATATTGGTTTGCAGATATTCAGGAAATTATTTTAGAAATGTGCTTTGGGAACAACATAGACACACTCTGAATAAAGGCAGAGTCCTCCTAAAGAAGACTCATGTCTTTTTTTTTATTATTATACTTTAAGTTTTAGGGTACATGTGCACAACGTGCAGGTTCGTTACATATGTATACATGTGCCATGTTGGTGTGCTGCACCCATTAACTCATCATTTAACATTAGGTATCTCTCCTAATGCTATCCCTCCCCCATCCCCACACCCCACAACAGGCCCTGGTGTGTGATGTTCCCCACGCTGTGTCCATGTGTTCTCATTGTTCATTTCCCACCTATGAGTGAGAAAATGCGGTGTTTGGTTTTTAGTCCTTGTGATAGTTTGCTGAGAATGATGGTTTCCAGCTTCATCCATTTCCCTACAAAGGACATAAAATCATCATTTTTTATGGCTGCATAGTATTCCATGGTGTATATGTGCCACATTTTCTTTATCCAGTTTATCATTGTTGGACATTCGGGTTGGTTCCAAGTCTTTGCTATTGTGAATAGTGCCTCAATAAACATACGTGTGCATGTGTCTTTATAGCAGCATGATTTATACTCCTTTGGGTATATATCCAGTAATGGGATGGCTGGGTCAAATGGTATTTCTAGTTCTAGATCCCTGAGGAATCGCCACACTGACTTCCGCAATGGTTGAACTAGTTTACAGTCCCAGGAAGACTCATTTCTTATCCACTCCCCCGAGATAACTGCCATTGTCACTTAATACCCTTCCAGAACATTTTCCACACATTTAGACACATTTGGACCTGTTGTTGCATGTGTGTGACTTGTGAAAACATTCATAGAGTCACGTTGTATTGTTGCTTGTAGATTCCCCAAGTTACTTTTCTCACTCAACAACCTGTGTTGGAGATATTCCCCACCAGCACACAGAGGTCCACTTTCTCATTTTATCTGTTCGATGTGATCCACAGTATGGATCCATCAAGTCCCCCGTTGGGCGAACAATTAGAGTCTGCCCGTTTTTCTGCTATCAGAGTCATTGCTGCAACAAGCATGCTTCCCCATGCTACGTCGTGCCTGAGTATGAGAGTTTCTCCAGGGTAGACACTTAGAAGTGGGATTGCCTGGTCAGAAGAAAACCTGCACTTAATTGTCGTGGACAGCACTGACTTTCCCTCCAATCTGTGGTTCCAATTTCCCATCCCACATAAGGAGATAATTGCCTTACATCCTGCAACCACTTGCCACGATCACACTTTGCAATGTTTTTGCTATTATAAGCAATTGAGCAATGACACGCTCTTTTCTTTTTAACTTGTAAAAATTTATTATAGAAAGGAAAAGGCAGAGAACAGCCATAGAAAGGACAAATAATGGCATGTGTTACTAGTCATTCCTGTTAGGAAATTAACAGGGGAAACAGTGTAGGAAATGCTACTTGTGATGATAGTACTGCAATGTATTGAATACTTACCATGTGCAATGAGACAGTCTTGTCTCTGCTGCCTCATAAGACTCTCTCAGCTGCCTGCACTCCCTATAGTGCTGCTAACATTGTGTTTTACACAGCCATATACAGATATAAAAAATATATAATATATATTTTATAGATAATATAATTATATATAACTATATAAAATTACATAATATATAATAAATTATATATTATAGATAATATATAATAATTATAAATATAGATAATATATAATAATTATAAATATTATAGATAATATATAATAATTACATATTATAGATAATATACAATAATTACATATTATAGCTAATATATAATAATTACATATTATAGATAATATACAATAATTACATATTATAGCTAATATATAATAATTACATATTATAGATAATATGTAATAATTATAAATATTATAGATAATATATAATTACATATTATAGATAATATATAATAATTATAAATATTATAGATAATATATAATAATTACATATTATAGATAATATACAATAATTACATATTATAGATAATATATAATAATTACATATTATAGATAATATATAATAATTATAAATATTATAGATAATATATAATAATTACATATTATAGATAATATATAATAATTATATTATAGATAATATATAATAATTACATATTATAGATAATATATAATAATTATATTATAGATAATATATGATAATTATATATTATAGATAATATATGAAAATAATTATATATTATAGATAATATATGATAATTATATATTATAGATAATATATGATAATTATATATTATAGATAATATATGATAATTATATATTATAGATAATATATAATTACATACAATATATATTTTATATAAAATATATAATTACATATATTTTATATAAATATATAATTACATATATTTTATATAATATATAATTACATATATTATATAAAATATATAATTACATATAATATATCTTTTATATAAAATATATATTATATATAACATATAATTATAATATATTATATAACTATATCTTTTATAATATAAAATATTATATATAATATATAATATATAATTATATATTATACATGCTTATAAAATATAATATATAGTATATTATGTTATCAAATATATAATATATTATATGATATATAATATAATATATAATTATATATTATATATGCTTACAAAATATATTATAAAATATAATATATAGCATATTTTATATTATCAAATATATTATATAATATATAATATCATATATTATCATCTATATCATATATATCAATTACATATATCATATATAAAATATAATATATAATATCTATTGTATAATATAATATATGATATAATGTATTATATCATGTATAATATATCATGTATAATATATTATATTATATCATGTATAATATAATATATCATGTAATAATATAATATATTATATCATGTATAATATAATATATTATATCATGTATAATATAATACACATTATATATTATATCATGTATAATATAATACACATTATATATTATATCATGTATTATATAATACACATTATATATTATATCATGTATTATATAATACACATTATATATTATATCATGTATTATATAATATATAGTATATTGTATCGTGTATTATATAATATATAGTATATTGTATCGTGTATTATATAATATATAGTATATTGTATCGTGTATTATATAATATATAGTATATTGTATCGTGTATTATATAATATATAGTATATTGTATCGTGTATTATATAATACATAGTATATTGTATCGTGTATTATATAATACATAGTATATTATATCGTGTATTATATAATATATAGTATATTATATCGTGTATTATATAATATATAGTATATTATATCGTGTATTATATAATATATAGTATATTATATCGTGTATTATATAATATATAGTATATTATATCGTGTATTATATAATATATAGTATATTATATCGTGTATTATATAATATATAGTATATTATATCGTGTATTATATAATATATAGTATATTATATCGTGTATTATATAATATATGATATAATATATAATTATATAAAAATATATAATTATATATTATATATAAAACGATGTATACATAAAATATATATATACACACTATATATATTTTTTGAGATGGAGGCTTGCTCCCATCACAGAGGCTGGAGTGCAGTGGCGTGATCTTGGCTCACTGCAACCTCTGCCTCCTGGGTTCAAGCGATTCTCCTGCCTCAGCCTCCTGAGTAGCTGGGATTACTGGCATGCACCACCACGCCCGGCTAATTTTTGTATTTTTAGTAGAGATGGGGTTTCTCCATGTTGTTCAGGCTGGTCTCAAACTCCCGACCTCAGGTCATCCACCCGCCTTGGCCTCCCAAAGTGCTGGGATTACAGGCTTGAGCCACTGTGCCTGGCTGTTTTTTTTCTGTTTTGTTTTGTTTTGTTTTGTTTGTTTGTTTTTTGAGACAGAGTCTCACTCTGTTGCCGAGGCTGGAGTGCAGTGGCACTGTGTCAGCTCACTGCAACCTCCATATCCTGGGTTCAAGCAATTCTCCTGCCTCAGCCTCCCGAGTAGCTGGGATGACAGGCGTCCACCACCACGCCCGGCTAGTTTTTATATTTTTAGTAGAGACCGGGTTTCACTATGTTGGCCAGGCTGGTCTTGAACTCCTGACCTCAAGTGATCCACCTTTCTTGGCCTCCCAAAGTGCTGGGATGACAGGCATGAGCCACTGTGCCCGGCCGCGAACTGCTGTTAAGACACGGTGAGAATGAGCTGGCTCTGGAAAATCAAGGCAGGAGGATCACTTGAGTCCAGGAGCTCAAGACCAGCCTGGGCAACACAGCAAGACCCCTATCTCTCTCTAAAAAAAAAAAAAAATTAGCAAGCATGGTGGTGAATGCCTGTGGTTTCATCAGTGAGGTGTGATCATGCCGCTGTACTCGAGCCCGAGGAACAGAGCAAGACCCTGTCTTGGGGGGGAAGAAACCCAAAAAAACAGAGAAAGAATAAACTATCATAATGCTTAATTTTGTGTGCATTTATTTAGCAGTGGGAACCAAATTGGCCTCCCCTAGGTAATTCAGCTATTCGTCTGAATTATGTGGGTTACTGTGTTACAGTCATCTCTTGTTTGATTTTAGTGAAACTGACTTAATTTTGCATACAAAAGCTGGTTCTAGGATCCTACCCCCCCAAGACAGGTTAGTTATGATGGGCAATCTCTCGACCTCATGCCTGACATCTTACATGTGTCGAGAAATCAAGAAGGTCGAAATATAAGTGGAGAGGTTGACGCTCCATTCTGGGGCAGCCCTGTAACTGTCCACCAATGTTGTGTCTGAGCTGGGCTGTGTCCACGAGCTTCCTGTTGTATTCTAGGGGCTCATAAGTTCAGAAAGATACTCAAATGGGGAGTTTTGTCCTGATGAAACCCAGGATGGAATACAGGACAAAAAAATACATTAATATTTGAGTCTTCTTAAGAAAGTCTAGGCCGGGCGCGGTGGCTCACGCCTGTAACCCCAGCACTTTGGGAGGCCGAGGATGGAGGATCGCCTGAGGTCAGGTGTTCGAGACCAGCCTGGCCAACATGGTGAAACCCTCTTTCTACTAAGGATACGAAAATTAGCCAGGAGTTAGGGCGGGTTCCTGTCATCCCAGCTACTCGGGAGGCTGAGGCAGGAGAATTGCTTGAATCCTGGGAGGCGGAGGTTGCAGTGAGCTGAGATTGTGCCACTGCACTCCAGCCTGGATGATGACAAACTCTGTCTCAAAACAAAACAAAACAAAAAGTGGAAACTGGAAACAGCTTTTATGCTCTTTTATTTCAATAGTTTACAGAACCCAGGATGGTATCCAATGAGAGCTTGCATTCAGGCATGGGGAAGACACCGTTGAGAAGAATGAAAATGATTACAATCATGCAGAAAAAGAAACTTGGGCACCCAAAACACACCCAGGAAAATGAGGGAAGGGAAAGTATTTGAATTTGACTAGCAATGACAAGCCGCAGATACATGAGCTCAGAGGACTGTGGCTGGACAGACATCAAGGGTGGACAGAACCCAGCCTGTCAGGACTGACACCCTAGGGTTGTCCGTCTACAAATCGGCTCCTGATTGGTCTACCCGGGACTGTGGTCCACGGTCATTGAAAAATATGTCATGGAGGCTCCACGTACACTCAAGCTGTGGGCAGACAGTTCCATGATGGGACTGCACCTCGTATCAGAAAGGGCCTCCCATCCTCCCCTTCTTTAATTCCACCCTCCTGACGTCCGACTACTTCACTCCATACAACCACATGTCCTCAAGACAATGGGCAACGGATGCCGTTTGGTTCAGTGGAGGCAAGAAACATGATTTATGAATGTTGTTTACGTTTTAACAATTTAAATTTATGTTTATTATATTAAATATAATTTTATATTTTTATAATGAATATAAAAATATTTATTATATTTTAAATAGTTTAAAAATATTATGAAATTATTTTAATTTTATAAATATATTAAACGTATTTGTATTTTTATAAAATATATAAAATTATATATTTATAATTTTTAAAATATAAAATTATTTTAATTTTATAAATATATTTATAGTTTTTATAAATATATTAATAAACATATTTCTATTTTATAAAATATATAAAATTATATATTTATAATTTTATAATATATCTAATAAATATATTATAATATCATATAACATATTATATATCATAATATATAGCTAATAAATATAATATATAATATATACTAAAATATTTAATAAAGATGTTTTTAAATATAAAATACATATTATTTATTTATAGAAATACATATTTTATATATTTATAATTAATATATAAAATATTGGTATAAAATAATTTATTAAAATAATTTAAATTTTCATAATTTAAATTTATATTTATTATATTAAATGTAATAACTTCATATTTTTATAATTAATATAAAATATTTATTAAATAATAATTTATTCTAAAAGCGCTCAGAATTTCAAAGCTAATATTTGACTTTTTAAAAAATTAAGTGCTAAGTTTGTATAAAAATTTTAATATGACATAAAATTTTTATTTCTATAATTAATATAAAAATACTTATTGTATTTTTAATAAATAATTTTGAAAATATTAATTGTATTTTTAATATTTTGAAAATATTACAAAAATATTTTAATTTTATAATATATTAACAAATATGTTAAATATATTTATAATTTTATAAATATATTATAATAAATATATTAAATATATTATAAATATAAATATATAATAAAATAAATATGTTAAAATATAAATATATAACACATATATTAAAATATTAGAAAATATATTATAATTGTATTTTAAAGATTTTATATGTTTATAATTAATATATAAAATATTTATTAAAATAATTTATTATAATTATTTAATTTTAATAATTTAAAATTAAATTTATTATATTAAATATAATAATTTTATATTTTTACAATTAATATGAAAATATTTATTAAGTAATAATTTATTCTGACAGCTCTCAGAATTTCAAAGCTAATACTTGACTTGTTTCTTTAAAAAAACTAAACTATTTGACTTGCTTCTTAAAAGAAAAACAAGCACTAAGAGTTTGTATAAAAAATCTTAATATGACATAAAAATGAATGCCAGAGAGTCCATACATCAGAATTCCAGATAAGCTCTTTTTTTGGCATGTGGGATTTTTATTCATAAATTTGTTTAACTCTTTATACACCTCATCATACGTTTTCGTGTTGAGGATTTCCTTTGACGTTCTCATTGGCTGTTGGAGCAAGATAAGATCCCATTTGGGGCTGTCATGCATGAGCCCCTTTGCTGAGGATGTGCAGAATGGGGTGTCTGAGGTCTACCTGCGTGGAACCAGGTGCACCTGCGGATCTTGCTAACACGCGCGGGAATTTTGCACGTTCACCAACAGGCAAATGAATCCTCGCGTCTTTAAGGGTCTGCGGCAGTTAATAGATGATCCACCGTGTCATGTCACAGCCCAGATGAGTGACAAGCCAGTGCCGACAGAGAGTGACATGTGTCTGTCACTTTGCTGACAGCCCTGGCACATTCTGCAAAATGCCTCAGCTCCTGCTGCCTAATTTTCTGCTGTGAGAGCCAGGTGGCTTCCTTTGGTCTCCACAGGAAACAAAATGTCTCAGAAATCTTTCCCCAAAGCACAGGCTTCATACATTCATGGGGTCTCACCATGTTGGGAGAACGGTGGCAGAATCAGAAAGGTGACGGGGGCTAGCTGGGAACACCTGTGTGCGGATTCTTCAGAATCTGTAACAGCCTGGTTTGCAGACTCAAGGGGACTGTGGGCACTGGGAGATTCCTGAAGGCAGGTGGGTGGTTGGAAGGATGTGAAAAGATTCAGTTGGATCCCAGGGGTGGTGGGTCAAAGGCATTTCCTGTGTTCACAGCTGGTTGCCACCGACGCCTGTTGCCACGGATGCCTGGTGTACAGGGCGTGGTTCTTTTCTCAGGTGAATACCCAACAGTCAAGTTATCCCAGTCCATCTGGATCACCTGCAAACAGATGCACCATTCATGCCCCACCTCAGGGCTTGTTCTTTTCTTCAGCACACTCCTGGCTTACACCTGTGTGCTCAGATGCAGAGGTAAAGCATTTTAAGGACACCTCCAGGAATCTGTCCGGTGGCAATGACCCATTCGGGCCCAAGAAAGTGTAAGAGTGATGCCTTCTTGCTCTGCTCTCATCTGGAAGCGCCTCTCTCCCTTGCCATGGAGAGGCTGGCCATGTAATGCTCACTGTGGCTCTTTCAGATACATCATCTCCCCATTTTAAAGATGAAGAAGAGTCAGTCTCATTCCTCAGCACCAGTAGTAACGGGGGGAGTTGGGCTGACTCCAAACCTGCTCCCAAAGATAGCACTAACAAATGCTGGTAAGGTGGTGGTCACAAAGAGTGTCATCAACTCCAGATAGCAACCGGGTCTCCTTACCAGAAAACCTAACAGGCGTTGGTTTGATAGATGCATCATTGTGTATGTCTCTATCCATCTATGCATTCTCCATCTATCCATCTATCATCTCTCCATTCACCTACTCATCTATCAATCTATCCATTCATCTATCCATTCTTTATATCTATTTCTCTATCTATCCATCTATTTATTTATCCATCATCCGTCTGTCATCTATTTATATTCTGTCATCTCTCTTTCAATCTTCCATCTACCCTATCTATCTACTACCTAAAGCTATCTGTATTCTATCTATCCAAACATCATCTGACTATCATCTACCTACCTACATCTATCATCTCTCTAGCTCTGTCTATATATCTATCTATATCATCTCTATATCAGTCATCTATTCCTCTATCTATTATCTATCTATCTATCATCTATCATCTATCTACCATCTATCTATCAATACATCTATGTATCAATCATCTATCTCTCAATCAGTACATCTGTCAATGTATCAATCATCTATCTATATCAGTACATCTGTAAGTATCAATCATCTATCATGTATCTATCTATACATCTGTATATCTATCTATCTCAGTACATCTGTCTACGTATCAATCATCTGATTGAAGAAAAGGCTCGGAGACGGAGTCTATGTCACCAGCATAGGAAAAGCAGGATGTGGCTTCCATTCCTTGAAACCTCTGTCTTCCTCCTGATTTACAAGTCCTGTCTGAGATTCTCCTCTGGTGTTTATTTGCTGTTTTTCTTGTGAAGCCAGATTTCCAAGCATATTTTCACATTGGTTTTGAAGGTCCTGATGGAAAACATGTGCCTGGAGATAAATGTGCTTTAACCAAATGTGTGTCTTCTGGAACATTCTCTGGATAGCTCTAGCCAGTGAGGAGTAAGGACAGCTGCTTCCTTTGGACCCTACACTGACCATTGTTTGTCTCTACCTGCACAACCTTTATCTCTCCTCCAGTTTAAGCAACCAGTTTCCTGCAGGTGAACATCCTGGCACCATAATTGGCTCAAAGATGGGCATAGGACTCAGTGCAAGCCCTGAGTTTGTGCAGAAACTGAGCAGTGTAACAGCCTGGGAGGAAGTCCTGGAGGGACTTGAGCAAGATGACTTATCAGAGACAGAATCTGAGGAGAAGGCTCAGAACTTACCTCTAATCTCTTGCATGTTGAACCCAACAACTCAAATGAAAACCAGAGCTCATGGTTGCTGTTGAGACAGTCCACACTTTCCAGCCTCCTGAAGCAGAGAGTGGAGAAGAATGAAGAGGAACTGGGGAGGTAGAGGCTCTCTTGGGTTTATTGTAATACTTGAGTGAGTTAGCCCTTTTGAACAAACTTGACATTGAGCAGGTGTTGATTACAAATGAGATGTTTCCTGTGTTACTCATGGACACCCAGAAGAGGCAGGGTATTAGAAAGGGTATTAGCTTCCACTGGCTGCTGTAACGAAAATGATGACAGACTTCATCTTAGTTTATTTTGTACTTCTATAAAAGAGTGCCACTGATTAGGTAATTTATAAACAATGGGAGTTCATTGGTCTCATGGTTCCGAGGGCTGGAAAGTCTGAGGTTGAGGTGCTATGTCTGGTGAGGATCTTTTTGCTGTGTCATCCATTGTGAACTATCTCTTCGAGGTACTTCATATCCCCACTTCAGAGATGGAGAAACTGAGGTTGAAGAATGGTCAGTCTTATTGCTCAGCCCCAGTGATGGGTGGAGTTGGGTTGACTTCAAACCTACTCTGAAATATAACATTAAGAAATGCTGGCAATATGGCGGTCACCAATAGTGTTCATCAACTCCAGAGGGCAAGGAGGTCTCGTAACTAGAAAACCTCACAGCTATTGCTGAAGGAAGGGCACAGAGTTGAATTCAACATGGTTGACTCCTTGAAACCTCCATCTTCCCTCTGACGTACAGCAAGTCCTGCCTGAGATTCTCCTCTGGTGATTGTTTGCTGTTTTTCAACTGGACCAGCTCCAGAGCCCAAGCTAACTGGGGTAATGACGAGGGGAGGGTATGATTGATAGATAGATAGATAAATGATAGAGATAGATAGATGGGTAGATAGATATATAGATATACAGATGATAGATGGATAGATTGATAGAGGGGTAGATAGATATATAGATAGATGATAGATGGATAGAGAGATTGATAGATGGGTAGACAGATATATAGGTAGATGATAGATGGATAGATTGATAGAAGGGTAGATATATAGATAGATGGGTAGATAGACAAATGATAGATGAATAGATAAATGATATATGATGGACAGATACATAGATGATAGATGGATAAATAGATAAATGATAGATGAATAGATAAAAGATAGATGGATAGATAAATGACAGATGGATAGATAGATAAATAATAGATGAATAGATAAAAGATAGACGATGGACAGATACCTAGATGATAGATGGACAAATAGATAAATGATAGATGAATAGATAAATGATAGAAAGATAGATAAATGACAGATGGATAGATAGATAAATGTAGATGAATAGATAAAAGACACATTGATAGATAAATGATGGATAGACACATAAACAATAGATGGATGGATAGATAGATAGATGGGTATTTAGATGGATAGATAGATAAATAGATAAGTAATACATGAATAGATAAATGACAGATGGATAGATAGATAGATAAATGATAGATGAATAGATAAAAGATAGATGATGGACAGATAGATGATAGATGGATAAATAGATAAATGATAGATGAATAGATAAATGATAGCTGGGTAGATAGATAAATGACAGATGGATAGACAGATTAATGATAGATGAATAATAAAAGATAGACTGATAAATGATGGAGAGATACATAAGCAATAGGTGGATAGATAGATAAATGGTAGATGGGTATTTAGATAGATAAATAGATAAGTAACAGATGAATAGATAACTGGTAGATGGACAGATACATGCTAGATTTCCAAGCATATTTTCACATTTTCACCTTGGTTTCATAGGTCCTGATATAAAACATATGCCTGGAGATCAATGTGCTTCGAATTAGGATTTTTTTTTCTTTTTTCTTTTTTTGCCCCAGAAGGTTAGGAGAGTCCCCATAGAACGTGGGAGGGGACCTGTTTAGTGTTCAGAGCTTGCTGGAGAGGCTCCAGCATGACTCGTTGCTGGATGCTAAACAGGTGGTCCCCCGAGAAAGACCTGGGTCTGGAGGTGAGGGTTGCAGGGTTTATATGCCAGCAACAGAACAGGCGCTTCCTTGGAGAAGTATGTGTGAACCGGTCGCCCTCCCCACCTAAAGGTGTTCTGGGTTTGAGGAGGTTGTCAGTGGTGACCGTATGACCCCAAAAGTCAAACAGAATAATGCGCTTTATCCTTCCTTCTGCTTTAGGGAGGAGAATGTTTGCAGCAGTTCTTGTTAATTCATGAAGCATATGACTAATTGCATCAAGGATGAAACAAGGTAGGTAGGTAGGTAGACAGTTAAGTATGCACATGCATATGTACATAGATGGCAGATAGATGGGTAATAGATCAATGGCAGATAGATAAATAGATGCTGGATAGAGAGAGAGATAGACGATGAATAGAGAGATAGATGATGGATAGAGAGAGAGGGATACATAGATAGATGATTGATTGATTGATTGATTGATTGATGAGATAGATACATGGATAAAAGAGCCATACACATTACAGTGTGTATACATGCAGAGATAGACGATAGACATAGGTAGTATGTAGATAGATAGGCAGATAGATGATAGATGATGGATAGACAGGAGATAGAGAGATAAATGCTAGATAGAGAGACAAAGAGATAGAGATAGATAACGGATAGATAGATGAGGTACATAGACGTAGATAAATAGATAGCTAATAGGTAGATAGATAATAGATGATTGATGGATAATAGATAGATAGGTAGATAAACAGATCATAGGTAGGTAGATAATAGATGATTGATAGATAATAGATAGATGATAGATTAAATAGGTAGATGATAGATGATAGGTAGATAATAGGTAGATGATAGATAGCTAGATAGATGATAGATAGATAGGCAGATAGATAGATGGTAGACAGATAGATGATAGACAGATAGATGATAGATAGATATATAGACAGATATATAGATAGCTAGATAGATGATAGATAGCTAGATAGCTAGATAGATGATAGATAGATAGGCAAATAGCTAGATGATAGACAGATGATAGATAGATATATAGACAGATATATAGATAGATAGCTAGATAGATGATAGATAGATAGATAGATGATAGATATATAGACAGATATATAGATAGATAGCTAGATAGATGATAGATAGATAGATGATAGACAGAGAATAGATAGATATATAGACAGATATATAGATAGATAGCTAGATAGATGATAGGTAGATAGATAGATGATAGATAGATGATAGATAGATATATAGACATATATAGATAGCTAGATAGATGATAGATAGATAGATAGATAGATAGATAGATAGATAGATAGATAGACAGATAGATAGAATATCAATTTGTTCTTGCATTGCTATAAAGCAATACCTGAGCCTGGGTAATTTATAAAGAAAAGAGGTTGAATTGGCTCATGGTTCTGCAGGCTGTACAAGAAGCCCAGTGGCTTGGGCTTCTGAGGAGGCCTCAGGAAACTTATAGGCAAAGGGGAAACAGGTACGTCTTACATTGCTGGAGTAAGAGGAGAGGCGGGGGAGGTGCCACACACTTGTAATCAACCAGATCGCGTGAGAACTCTAGCAGAAGAACAGCGCCAAAGGGATGGTCCTAAACCACTCTTGAGGGGCCCACCCCCACGATCCAATCACCTCTCCCCAGGCCTAAACCACTCCTGAGGGGCCCACCCCCACGATCCAATCACCTCTCACCAGGCCCCACCTCCAACATTGGGGATTACAATTCAGCATGCGATTTGGGCAGGGACACAGATCCAAACCCTATTAGATAGATAGATTAATGATAGATGGATAGATAGATAGATGATTGATGGATACATAGATAAATGATAGATGGATAGATAAATGATAGAGGGATAAATAGATGATAGATGGATAGATAGATGATTGATGGATAGATGGATAAATGATAGATGGATAGATAATGATTGATGGATATATAGATAATGATTGATGGATAGATAAATGATGGATAGATAAATGATAGATGGATAAATAGATGATAGATGGATAGATAGATGATTGATGGATAGATGGATAAATGATAGATGGATAAATAGATGATAGATGGATAGATAGATGATAGATGGATAGATGGATAAATGATAGATGGATAGATAATGATTGATGGATATATAGATAATGATTGATGGATAGATAGATAAATGGTAGATGGATAGATAAATGATAGATGGATAAATAGATGATAGACGGATAGATAGATGATTGATGGATAGATGGATAAATGATAGATGGATAGATAATGATTGATGGATATATAGATAATGATTGATGGATAGATAGATAAATGGTAGATGGATAGATAAATGATAGATGGATAAATAGATGATAGACGGATAGATAGATGATTGATGGATAGATGGATAAATGATAGATGGATAGATAATGAATGATGGATAGATAAATGATAGATGGATAGATAAATGATAGATGGATAAATAGATGATAGATGGATAGATAGATAATTGATGGATAGATGGATAAATGATACATGGATAGATAATGATTGACGGATAGATAGATAATGATTGGTGGATAGATAAATGATAGATGGATAGATAGATGATTGATGGATAGATAGATAAATGATAGATGGATAGATAGATGGGTAGATAGATATATAAATGATAGGTAGATAAATGATAGATGAACATATAAATGATTGATAGATGGATAGATAAATGATAGATGAATAGATAAATGATGGATAGACACATAATAGATGGATAGAAAGATAGATAAATGATAGATGGGTATTTAGATGGATAGATAGATAAATAGATAAATAATAGATGGACAGATAACTGATAGTTGGGCAGATAGATAAATGATCGATGGATAGATAAAAGATAGATAAATAAATAATAGATAGATCAATAAATAGTAAATGAATAGATGAATGACAGATGGGTAGATAGATGGATAGATAAATGATGGATAGATAGATAGATAATAGATGACAGATAGGTGAGAGAGAAATGGGTGACGGAAGGGAGAGAAAGAAGGAGAGAGATTTGGGGTCATTAAATAGCAGAGGAAAAGCATGTACACAAAACTTTTGCAGCATGTGCAATGGAATATATATATATGTTTATATATATATATGTTTATATATATATATAAATACACACACACAGAGAGAGACAGAGAGAGAGACAGAGTCATCAGAGAGTCATCAGACAGCAGAGAGGAAACCCACCCAGCACTGAGGTCATACAGCAAGCTGGAAAGAGACAATGAGTAATGTTTGACATGAGAGGTCATTTTCTGCACGTCTGGAATCGAGGCATTGATTTTTCATACACATTATGGCTATTGGCTAGAGATGATCATTGAACCTGTCTGAAGACAGATCTCTGGGTGGAGCAGACCAAGGCTGTTTGGTGACTTGCGTTATTTGAAGATTTCCCTGCATGCTACTGAAACCAGATGTAGTGAGCTATGATCATCCCACTGCACTCCACCCTGAGCGACAGAGCGAGACCCTGACTCTTATAAAAATAAAAATAAAAAATAAGGCCAGTGCAGTGGCTCAAGGCTGTCATCCCAGCACTTTGGGAGGCCGAGGCGGGTGGATCATGAGGTCAGGAGTTCGAGACCAGCCTGGCCAACAGGGTGAAACCCCGTCTCTACTAAAAGTACAAAAATTATCTGGGAGTGGTGGCAGGTGCCTGTAGTCCCAGCTACTCGGGAGGCTGAGGCAGGAGAATGGCGTGAACCTGGAGGCAGAGGTTGCAGTGAGCCGAGATGTTGCCCAGGCTGGGTGACAGAGCAAGACTCCATTTCAAAAAATAAATAAATTAATTAAATAAAAATAACATAACATAAAATAAAATGGGAACGTCTCCACTCCTCAGAGTGACTCATCCCACCGATCCCACACTGAAATTTAGTTTTTGACACACTGCAGAATGCAAGTAATAATTGCTCAAAATTTGACTGAAGGCGCAGCCCAGAAAGTGAGCTCAAGAAGGTAGGGATGTGGGTGTTTTTGTTCAGAAGTATCTCTCTCTCTCTCTCTCTTTTTTTTTTTTTTTTTTTTTTTGAGATGGAGTCTCGCTCTGTCACCCAGGCTGGAATGCAGTGGTGCGATCTCGGCTCACTGCAAGATCCGCCTCCTGGGTTCACACCATTCTCCTGCCTCAGCCTCCCAAGTAGCTGGGACTACAGGTGCCCGCCACCACGCCCGGCTAATTTTTTGTATTTTTAGTAGAGTTGGGGTTTCACCATGTTGGCCAGGCTGGTCTTGAACTCCTGACCTCAAGAACCTCCACCTCCCAGGTTCAAGTGAGTCTCCTGCCTCAGCCTCCCGAGTAGCTGGGACTACAGGCACCTGCCACTACACCCGGCTAATTTTTGTATTTTTAGTAGAGACGGGGTTTCACCACATTGGCCAGGCTGGTCTTGAACTCCTGACCTCGTGATCCGCCCACCTCGGCCTCCCAAAGTGCTGGGATTACAGGCATGAGGCCACCGCGCCCGGCCAAAAATGGATTTTAATTGCCTAAATTTCCTGCCTCTAGGAGAAAGTACCTTCTTGATCCTTCAGGAGCTAATTTCCACCCAAATCCTCGATGGCTTCAGGGCTCTGGCTGGCAGATGATGTTACAGTGAGGAAGCCGTCATCCTGTGTGGAGTATGGTTCACACTAGCATGCTGTGTCCTGGCCATCAAAGAGATACATGTGCCAGATAAAATATGTGTGTATAGATCACGCATAAACTTGCATTCTGGGTCTTCATAAAGAAGTTTAAAGAAGGCCGGGAGTGGTGGCTCACGCCTGTAATCCCAGCACTTTGGGGGGCCGAGGTGGGTGGATCACCTGAGGTCAGGAGTTCGAGACCAGCCTGACCAACACGGTGAAACCCCATCTCTACTAAAAATACAAAAATTAGCCAGGCGTGGTGGCAGGTGCCTGTAATCCCAGCACTTTGGGGGACCGAGGTGGGTGGATCATCTGAGGTCAGGAGTTCGAGACCAGCCTGACCAACATGGTGAAACCCCGTCTCTACTAAAGAAATACAAAAATTAGTCAGGCGTGGTGACAGGTGCCTGTCATCCCAGCTACTCGGGGGGCTGAGGCAGAATTGTTGAACCTGGGAGGCGGTGGTTGTAGAGAGCCGAGGTCACTGCACTCCAGCCTGGGCGATAGAGTGAGACTCAGTGTCAAAAAAAAAAAAAAAATTAAAGATAGAGGGAGAAAGAGGAGAAACAAGAGGAGGAGGAGGCTGGAGGAGGAGAAGGAGGAGGAAGAGAAAGAGGAGGAGGTGGAGGAGGAGGGAGACAGAGGAGGAGGAGGGAGTGGTTGGAGGAGGAGAAAGAGAAGGATGAGGAAGAGAAAAAGAAGGAGGGGGAGGAGGAAGAAGAGGAGGAGGGGAAGGAGGAGAAAGAGGAGGAGAGGGAGGAAGAGGAGGAGGCTGGAGGAGGAGAAAAAGGAGAAAGAGAAAAAGGAGGAGGGAGAGGAGGAGGGGAAGGAGGAGGGAGAGAAAGAGGAGGAGAGGGAGGAAGAGGAGGAGGCTGGAGGAGGAGGAAAAGGAGAAAGAGAAAAAGGAGGAGGGAGAGGAGGAGGGGAAGGGGGAGGGAGAGAAAGAGGAGGAGAGGGAGGAAGAGGAGGAGGCTGGAGGAGGAGGAAAAGGAGAAAGAGAAAAAGGAGGAGGGAGAGGAGGAGGGGAAGGGGGAGGGAGAGAAGTAGAAGCAGGAAGAGTGGGGAAGGAGGAGGTTGGAGAAGGTGGAGGAGGAAGAAGAGAAACAGGAAGAAGAGGAGGAAAAAGGGGAGGAGGAGGGAGAGGAGGAAAGAGAGGAGGAGGGGAAGGAGGAGGAAGAGAAAGAGGAGGAGGGGGAGAAGCAGGGAGAGGAGGAGGAGGAAGAGAAAGAGGAGGAGGGAGAGGAGGAGGGAGAGGAGGAGGAAGAGAAAGAGGAGAAGGGAGAGGAGGAGGGGGAGGAGGAGGGAGAGGAGGAGGAGGAAGAGAAAGAGGAGAAGGGAGAGGAGGAAGAGCCTGGAGGAGGAGGAAGAGAAAGAAGAAAAGGAAGAGGAGGGGAAAGAAGAGGCTGGAGAAGATGGAGGAGGAAGAAGAGAAAGAGGAAGAGGAGAGGGGAGAGGATGAGGGGAAGGAGGAGGAAGAGAAAGAGGAGGAGGGAGAGGAGGAAGAGGCTGGAGAGGAGAAGGAGGAAGAGAAAGAGGAGGAGGGGGAGGAGGGGAAGGAAGAGGTTGGAGAAGGTAGAGGAGGAAGAAGCGAAAGAAAAGGAGGGGGAGGAGAGAGGGGAGGAGAAAGAACAGGAAGAGGAGAGGGAGAAGGAGGAACAAGAGAAGGGGGAAGAGGGGAGGAGGAAAAGATGAGAGGAGGAGAAGGAAGCGGAAGAGAAAGAGGGAGAGGTGGAGAAGGGGGAGGAGGAGGGGAAGGAGGAGGAGGAAGAGGAGGAGGAGAAGAAGGTGGAGGAGGGAGAAAAGGGAAGAGGGGGGCAGAGGGTGGAGAGGGACTCAGGAAAACAGGTCCCCCTCACCCCCATCCCACCGTAATAAAGACATGACGCCTTTTTATGCTGAGAAAACATCAAGCTGTGTTTCTCCTTCCCCAGAGACACTTCGCAGCCCCTCTTGGGATCCAGCGCAGCGCAAGGTAAGCCAGATGCCTCTGCTGTTGCCCTCCCTGTGGGCCTGCTCTCCTCACGCCGGCCCCCACCTGGGCCACCTGTGGCACCTGCCAGGAGGCTGAGCTGCAAACCCCAATGAGGGGCAGGTGCTCCCGGAGACCTGCTTCCCACACGCCCATCGTTCTGCCCCCGGCTTTGAGTTCTCCCAGGCCCCTCTGTGCACCCCTCCCTAGCAGGAACATGCCGTCTGCCCCCTTGAGCTTTGCAAGGTCTCGGTGATAATAGGAAGGTCTTTGCCTTGCAGGGAGAATGAGTCATCCGTGCTCCCTCCGAGGGGGATTCTGGAGTCCACAGTAATTGCAGGGCTGACACTCTGCCCTGCACCGGGCGCCCCAGCTCCTCCCCACCTCCCTCCTCCATCCCTGTCTCCGGCTATTAAGACGGGGCGCTCAGGGGCCTGTAACTGGGGAAGGTATACCCGCCCTGCAGAGGTGGACCCTGTCTGTTTTGATTTCTGTTCCATGTCCAAGGCAGGACATGACCCTGTTTTGGAATGCTGATTTATGGATTTTCCAGGCCACTGTGCCCCAGATACAATTTTCTCTGACATTAAGAATACGTAGAGAACCAAATGCATTTTCTTCTTAAAAAAAAAAAAAACCAAAAAAAAAAAAAAAAACCAAAAAACTGTACTTAATAAGATCCATGCCTATAAGACAAAGGAACACCTCTTGTCATATATGTGGGACCTCGGGCAGCGTGTGAAAGTTTACTTGCAGTTTGCAGTAAAATGACAAAGCTAACACCTGGCGTGGACAATCTTACCTAGCTATGCTCTCCAAAATGTATTTTTTCTAATCTGGGCAACAATGGTGCCATCTCGGTTCACTGCAACCTCCGCTTCCCAGGTTCAAGCGATTCTCCGGCCTCAGCCTCCCAAGTAGCTGGGAGGACAGGCACCCGCCATGATGCCCGGTTAATTTTTGTATTTTTAGCAGAGATGGGTTTTCGCCATGTTGGCCAGGCTGGTCTCGAACTCCTGACCTCAGGTGATCCGCCTGCCTTGGCCTCCCAAAGTGCTGGGATGACAGGCGTGAGCCACCGCGCCCAGCCAGGAATCTATGCATTTGCCTTTGAATATTAGCCTCCACTGCCCCATCAGCAAAAGGCAAAACAGGTTACCAGCCTCCCGCCACCCCTGAAGAATAATTGTGAAAAAATGTGGAATTAGCAACATGTTGGCAGGATTTTTGCTGAGGTTATAAGCCACTTCCTTCATCTGGGTCTGAGCTTTTTTGTATTCGGTCTTACCATTCGTTGGTTCTGTAGTTCATGTTTCAAAAATGCAGCCTCAGAGACTGCAAGCCGCTGAGTCAAATACAAATAGATTTTTAAAGTGTATTTATTTTAAACAAAAAATAAAATCACACATAAGATAAAACAAAACGAAACTGACTTTATACAGTAAAATAAACGATGCCTGGGCACAGTGGCTCACGCCTGTCAACCCAGCACTTTGGGAGGCTGAGGCGGGTCGATCACCTGAGGTTAGGAGTTCAAGACCAGTCTGGCCAACTTAGTGAAACTCCCGTCTACTAAAAACACACAAATTGGCTGGATGTGGTGGCAGATGCCTGTAATCCCAGCTACACAGGAGGCTGAGGCAGGAGAATCACTTGAACCCAGGAGGCGGAGGTTGCAGTGAGCCGAGATCGTGTCACTGCACTCCAGCCTGGGTGACAGAGTGAGACTCTGTCTCAAAAATATAAGTAAATAAATAAATAAAATAAAATAAACAATCTTCCTGCTCAAAATTGAGGGCATTTTTGTTGAGATAGATTCATTCAGAGTGAGACTCTCACCTCCTACTTCTGTTTTTTTCTGATTTATTTTTATTTTTTTGCTACCTCTGTAGCGACGTTTTCATTGCTGGAGCACGGGTGAGACTATGTCTTTAGACTTCTCCCTCTCCTTCCCCTAAGCCTCCAACGCGTGCTAAAGTGCAAAAAACACCTGAGTCCAAACAGCCTGGCCGGGTGCAGTGGCTCATGCCTGTCATCCCAGCACGTTGGGAGCCTGAAGTGGGTGGATCACCCGAAGTCAGCAGTTCGAGACCAGCCTGGCCAACACGGTGAAACCCCGTCTCTATTAAAAATACGAAAATTAGCCGGGCATGGTGGCGCATGCCTGTAATCCCAGCTACTTGGGAGGTTGAGGCAGGAGAATCGCTTGAACCCAGGGGGTGGAGGGTGCAGTGAGCTGAGATTGTGCCACTGCACTCCAGCCTGGGTGACAGAGTGAGACTGTGTCTCAAAAAAAAAAAAAAAAAAAGAAAGAAAGAAAAGAAAAAGCAAGAAATGGCAGGGATATGGTTTGTCTTCAGAACCATGGTGGAGAGAAGATTGTGTGAGTTCCTGAGGCTGTCAGAACAAAAGACCATGACCTCAGAGTGGGAAGGTCAAAACAGCAGAGATTCATCCTCTCCCAGCTGTGGAGAACAGCAGTCTGTGATCCAGCTGTCTGAGGACCTTCCTCCCATCAGAAGCTCTAGGGGAGGCTCCTTCCTGCCTCTCCCAGCTCCTGGGGGCTCCAGGTGTCCCTGGGCTTGTGGCCGCATCACTCCAGTCTCTGCCTCCATCTCCACGTGGCCTTCTCCTCTGTGTCTGCGTCTCCTCTTCTGTCTCTTACAGGGACACCTGTCATTGTATTTAGGGCCCAGCCCTAAATGGAGTACCAGGATGACCTCATTATAACTAACTATATCTGCAGAGACCGTAGTTCCAAATAAGTCACCCGTCCTGGGTTCCAGATGAAATTATTTGTGTGGGGGAGATATTATTCCACCTGCTACGCAGGATGATTTGTTTTCCTCACTATCAGTGATTGAGATTAACATGTTTCTGTGCTTGGTTAGAGAAATGTAGGATGCTGTTCTGTCTCCTGCTCTTTTTTTTTTTTTTTTTTTTTTTGAGGTGGAGTCCTGCTCTGTTGCCCAGGCTGGAGGACAATGGTGCAATCTTGGTTCACTGCAACTTCCACCTCCATGGTTCAAGGAATTCCCCTGCCTCAGCCTCCCGAGTAGCTGGGATTACAGGTGCGTGCCACCATGTCCAGCTAATTGTTTTGTGTTTTTAGTAGAGATGGGATTTCGCCATGTTGGCCAGGCTGGTCTCGAACTCCTGACCTCAGATGATCCGCCCGCCTCGGCCTCCCAACGTGCTGGGATGACAGGTGTGAGCCACTGTGCCTGGCCCTGCTGTATCTTATGCACATAAAAATCTGTGAGAACTTTCCTTAGGTGATCATCCAAGCCTCAGGGGTCTGAGCAATGGCTTTTTGCTGTAAAAGTCAGACGTGGGGCCGGGCGCGGTGGCTCACGCCTGTCATCCCAGCACTTTGGGAGGCTGAGGCGGGCGGGTCACGAGGTCAGGAGATCGAGACCATCCTGGCTAACACGGTGCAACCCCGTCTCTACTAAAAATACAAAAAATTAGCCGGGCGTGGTGGCGGGCGCCTGTAGTGCCAGCTACTCGGGAGGCTGAGGCAGGAGGATGGTGCGAACCCGGGAGGTGGAGCTTGCAGTGAGCCCAGATCGCGCCACTGCACTCCAGCCTGGGCGACAGAGCAAGACTCCATCTTAAATAAATAAATAAATAAATAAATAAATAAATAAATAAATAATAAATAAATGAATAATAAAAATAAACTCAGACGTGGACGCCAAGCTGCCACGCGCACAGATTAGCCTGCGTCAGACGACCGGAGAGACTGGCTGCGTAGAATCCTCGTTGCCTTTGACTCCTGTCACCTTTACACGCCGGAAAGCCCTGGTCGTCTGCGTTTCTGTCCAGCTCCTGGACTTTTTTTTTTTTTTTTTTTTGAGACGGACTCTCACTCTGTCGCCCAGGCCGGAGTGCAGTGGCACGATCTCGGCTCACCACAACCTCTGCCTCCCGGGTTCAAGCGATTCTCCTGCCTCAGCCTCCCTAGTAGGTGGGATTACAGGTGCCCGCCACCACGCCTGGCTAATTTTTGTATTTTTACTAGAAACGGGGTTTCACCCTGTTGGCCAGGTTGGTCTTGAACTCCTGACCTCGTGATCCGCCTGCCTCAGTCTCCCAAAGGGCTGGGATTACAGGCGTGAGCCACCGCGCCCGGCCTCACCTCCTTGACCGTTTACAGGTGACAACTGTTTGAATCGGTCACCAAAGCGTCAAGATTACGGATCCTCAAGCCGTAGACATTTCACGTACAATCAAAATCAACTGAAAAGGCAGGCGACGTTTCCTGGAGGAACTTTGCTGAAAGAAAAGTCATGAGCCATAACAAACCCTGGAACCGGCTTCTTAACCCCCACCGCAAACTCCCAAGCTTCGGCGTGTGTTGAAAAACCAGAAAGACAGCCTTCTCTAAATAGGATCCACATCTTCATCTTTCTCTCAGGACCCCAAAGACACCTCCTGGCTGTTTCTTGCTGGAGAGAAAGCATTTCACGTGCAGTACACCCTGTTTGAAACATCGCTTGGGTATTTTGATACATTGTTTTGTTGTAGTCAGAAACAGCGCATCAGAAAACACAGTTGTACAAATACTCTTTTTAATGGTACTCGGTGGGGGCTGTGTGTGTGTTTTAAAATAACAAAACTGCTAAACTCCATGGGAATTACTCAAAATGAATATCAGGGAAAGGTTTCCTTCGTTACTTAAACAGATGCCTTTGCAACCTACTATTTTATTTTATTATGTCATTTCTATGGGAAGAGATTATTTAAAAGAAGAAAAGGGGCCCCAGGTTTTCTCTCCTAAATTTCTAGCCCCAAACCTTCGTGATATTGAAAAGCAAGTATATCACAAAAGACTGTCTTCTACAAATTATATTTTTAATTGCAGTGTGCGTGTGTGTTTTAAAATAACAAAACTGCTAAACTCCATGGGAATTAGTCAAAATGAATATCGGGGAAGGGTTTCCTTCGATACTTAAATAGGTACCTTTGCAACCTACTATTTTATTTTATTATGTCATTTCTATGGGAGGAGATTATTTAAAAGGAGGAGCTCACGTTTTTCGTACGAAATTTCTAGCCCCAACCCTCCATGATACTGAAAAGCAAGTATATCAGAAAAGACTGTGTTCTACAAATTATGTTTTTAATTGCACTGTGTGTGTGTGTGTGTGTGTGTGTGTTTTAAAATAACAAAACTGCTAAACTCCATGGGAATTACTCAAAATGAATATCAGGGAAAGGTTTCCTTCGTTACTTAAACAGATGCCTTTGCAACCTACTATTTTATTTTATTATGTCATTTCTATGGGAGGAGATTATTTAAAAGGAGGAGCCCACTTTCTTGCTTTTAAATTTCCAGCCCCAACCCTTCTGGACATAACTCGTCTTCCTCTGCAGATTGGAACAGATGATTTTGCCGTCCAAGCATCCACCGGTGCTGTAGGAGAAGACGCACCGTGTTAGGTAGGTCAGCTGGCTCTGAGTTGAAAGTGTCACCCAAACCCAGGAGATCCAGGGCAGAAATTGTTTTAGTTCCACAGAGCAGCCACGGGTGCACCGTCTGTGTATCTCTGTCAGTGATGCAATCCAATGCATCTGGCAAAGGGAACGCAGGGGGCTGCGAGGAAGGCCCATTCGAGTGGCCTGTAAAAATGCTGAAAGCTCCATACACCTTCCCTGTCTCTGGGATTCTCAGCATCCTGCTCTGCCCTCCAAGTACAGGTCGCTGACCCACCTCCCACCCCTGCCCACCTCCAATCACATGCCTTGCACCCCTTCCTACCATTAGGCCTGCCGCTAAGGACCTGATTAGCTATAAATTTATGGCAATCCGCAACCACCGGCCTTCCCCTCCTGATGTTTTCTGACACATTTCAGGAGACGCAGAATACAGGCTCGCTGGTCCACCCGAGACCCCTGGCTGCAGAAACAGCCCGGCTCGTGAACACAGTTGCCGTGGTAACATGCCCCCCAGCTGTAGCCGGCCTAGGAAAACTACGTGGACAAGGATGATTTTTTCACAAGTTTTATTTTTTATTTATTTACTTGGGACCTTTTGTTTGGCAGCCGGACGGTGCAGCTTTTTCTCTGCACGGAGTCTGGTTGTGTCTACACACACAGGCAACACGCATAGATGGACATAAAACTATCCCCTCCCAAGACTTGCAAAGGATGCACGTTTTTCAGGCTGCAGCCAGGACGAGGGAGAGGTAGAGGTTGTAGTTATTGAGTAGGGGAGTCCCAAGAAAATCGTTGCCATAGGAAAGAAACAGTGGCTCACGTCTCTCATTCCAGCACTTTGGGAGGCCGAGGCGGGCGGATCAACTGAGGTCAGGAGTTTGAGACCAGCCTGGCCAACATAGTGAAACCCCGCTCTACTAAAAATACAAAAATTAGCCAGGCACGGTGGCTCACGCCTGTAATCCCAGCACTTTGGGAGGTCAAGGCGGGAGGATCACCTGAGGTCAGGAGTTCGAGACCAGCCTGGCCAACATGGTGAAACCCCGTCTCTACTAAAAATACAAACAGTAGCCAGGCTTGGTGGCTCACATCTGTCATTCCAGCACTTTGGGAGGCTGACGTGGGGCGGATCAACTGAGGTCAGGGGTTCGAGACCAGCCTGGTCAACATGGTGAAACTCCATCTCTATTGAAAGTACAAACATTAGCCAGGCATGGTGGCTCACGCCTGTAATCCCAGCACTTTGGGAGGCCCAGGCAGGGGGATCGCCTGAGGTCAGGAGTTCGAGACCAGCCTGGCCAACATGGTGAAACCCCCGTCTCTACTAACAATACAAAAATTAGCTGAGCGTAGTGGTGCGCACCTGTAATCCCACATACTCAGGAGGCTGAGGCAGGATAATCGCTTGAACCCAGGAGGCGGAGGTTGCAGTGAGCTGAGATTGCACCACTGCACTCCAGCCTGGATGACAGAGCAAGACTCCATCTCAAACAAAAAGAAAAGAAATGCATGGGTCTTGATGGGTGACATTTTATGTGGAAATAATGACAACAGCTAAAACACAAAGCAAAGCTATTTTGTTTCCCAATTTACACAAAAAACCAAACCAAACAAAACAGGTGCTGAGGTGATATTGAAAGATAAGATTGCTTAGAATATGGAGGCTAATGTTTGGAGGTGACTTTTGTAAATTGATCTTCATCCCTGGCAGTCCTTTGGTTGAAGGAGCCTGGATTTTAGTGTAAGATTTGGCTGGTTTGTTATAACATGTGGATCCCCTTTCTTTCTTTCTTTCTTTCTTTCTTTCTTTCTTTCTTTCTTTCTTTCTTTCTTTCTTTCTTTCTTTCTTTCTTTTTCTTTCTTTCTTTCTTTTCCTTTCTTTCTTTTCCTTTCTTTCTTTCTCTCTCTTTCTTCTTTCCTTCCTTCTTTCTTTCTTTCTTTTTTCTTTCTCTCTTTTCTTTCTTTCTCTCTCTCTCTCCCTCCCTCCCTCCTTCCCTTCCTTCCTTCCTTCCATCTTTCTTTCTTTTTCTTTCTTTCTTTCTTTCTTTCTTTCTTTCTTTCTTTCTCTCTTTCTTTCTTTCTTTCTTTCTCTCTTTTTCTTTCTTTTCTTTCTTCTTTCTTTCTTTCTTTCTTTCTTTCTTTCTTTCTTTCTTTCTCTCTTTTCTTTCTTCCTTCTTTTTAAGTGAAAGCAAGTTTTTTAAGAAAGTGAAGTAATAAAAGAATGGCTACTCCAGAGGCAGAGTACCCCTTAGGGCTGCTGGTTGGCTATCTTTATATCTGCTCCTATTTATTTATTTATTTATTGGAGACAGAGTCTCGTTCTGTCGCCCAGGCTGGAGTGCAGTGGTGCAATCTTGGCTCACTGCAACCTCCGCCTTCCAGGTTCAAGCAATTCTCCTGCCTCAGCCTCCTGAGTAGCTAGGATTATAGTCATGAGCGACCACACCAAGCTAATTTTTTTTTTTTTTTTTGTATTTTTAGTAGAGACAGGGTTTCACCATGTTGGCCATGCTGGTCTCGAACTGCTAGCCTCAGGTGACCCGCCCGCCTCGGCCTCCCAACGTGCTGGGATGACAGGTTTGAGCCACCGCCCCCGGTCCATCCTCTTTATTTTTTAAATTCTATTTGTATTCTTGATCTTCCCAGTTTTAGTGGCTCTTCAGGGGCTGAGAAAGCATGAAATACAGAGAATTTCTCTCCTCTTTCAACCAGAAAAGTTGTCTCATGTCTTTGGAGGTGGTAAGACCAGAGATATCTTTCTTGCAGGAGGAAGATGATTTCAAGAACAGAGAAATTGAGATGATTTTCCCGAGACAGGCAGTTGTTTCTTTCCTCCTCTCAGACACCTGTCCCGCGAGGCCAAGATGAAGTTGCTTCATTTTCTTAAGAGAGAATGACCGGAATGTTCCGGAAAACCAAAACGTCCAAGCTTTTGCAGGATGGAAGGAGTGGATCTATAGCAATTGAATTGAACACTTGTGTCCCTGTGTCTCCCTTGCTGCCCCCCAAACCTGAGAGCCCATTTTCAGCTTCTCCAGTGACCCAGTTGTCCAAGCGGAAACTAGTTAATCACCCTCAGTGGACCTGATATTCCCCGGAAATTATGGCTCGTGGAGATCTCATCGGAATTGTAAACTCATGCAGCCAGCCACATCTGCAAGTCCCAGGGGAATACAGGTCAAAAAACGTACCGGAATTACAGAAAAATCGTGTTGTCATCTCTGCACCGTACAAGGACAGAAACGACCTGTTTCCAAGAATGACATTATATAGCATCCCTGCCTTTTCGTTGACGGGGGAGACTGTATTATCCTCTAAAAGGTGCCACGAAGAATATTCAGAAAGGGTAAAATGACAAAATTAAAAGGAACGAAGGTGTATAGAAAGGCCAATTCTAAAAACCTAAATGCTGGAGGCGGCGGGGTGGCCTGTGGTTGGTCTCTGCAAATTTTCTCCGGATCTGACAGAGATCCAGTTCCGTCACCTCCAGGGCACAACGTAAGACCCCTGTTTCTGCAGTTCTGCCTTTTTAATTGATCGCCAGCGCTTTCTGGAAGATGATAGAATAAGGCCAGATTGTACGTGCCGGGGTGCTGATCTTCATGACTGGGGTATGTGTGTGTGTTCTCCAAAATTAAAGGAGCAAAGTGAGACCACAGATTGTACAATTCCATTCGAATCACATGTCCAGAATAGGAAAATCTACTGGGGCAGAGGGTGGATCAGTAGTTGCTTAGGACTGGGGGAACAAGGATGGGATAACTACGGAGGGAGGGATCTGAAGATGGCAAGTCAGCTTCCTTGGGGGGTGATAAAGATATCCTAAAAGTGACTCTGAGTGCCTTAAATAGATGCATTGTACGATATGTCAGTTATAGCCCGACAAACCTGCTTTGAAGAAAAAGAAGGCAGATTGTGAAATACACATAATAAATGGAAGCAAAGCAAATGACAATGATTTTTAAATTTATTTTTATTTTTTGTAGAGATGGGGGTGTCTAGCTAGGTGGCCCGGGCTGGTCTCAAACTCATGGGCTCAAGCAATCCTCCAGCCTTAGCCTCCGAAAATGCTGGGACCACAGATGGGAGTCACCACCGTACCCATCCATACAACTTTTTTTTTTTTTAATGTGAGACTACAAAATTATGAGGACATATCATATATTTGGAAAACTAAGGTAGAAAATCTCTACTTGTGATTGTTTTAAAAGTGTATTCATTGGCCGGGCATAGTGGCTCACGCCTGTCATCCCAGCACTTTGGGAGCTCGAGGTGAGCAGATCACCTGACATCAGGAGTTCAAGACCAGCCTGCCAACGTGGTGAAACCCCATCTCTACTAAAAATAGGAAATTCACCTGGTGGCAGGTGCCTGTAATCCCAGCTACTCGGGAGGCTGAGGCAGAAGAATCGCTTGAACCCAGGAGGTGGAGATTGCACTGAGCTGAGATCACGCCACTGCGCTCCAGCCTGGGTGACAGAGCAAGACTCCATAAAAAAAAAAATTATAACCTAATGATTAAATACTGTAGGGAAGAGCTTACCACAATTGCTGGCCCATGGCCAATGCTGGGTATAAGACAGCTACTGCAAACAACCATGATGATGATACATCTCTTGTGTAGGGTTAGGTTGTTTGAGACACATTCTATGCTCCTTGATTTGATTGGAAGGTACCTTGGTTCCTTGGGGACTTGGAGGTGATGAAAGCCTCCCTGGGGACAAAACTCACCTTCACTTCTCTAATATCAAGCTTCAGCAACCTGCTCCAGCTACAGCACAGGGTTGGACAGGCCCAACAACAGAGGAAATCCACAAAGTGTGTCTTGACACATACATCCACGGGGTCTAACGAGGTGAGGCCAATGACTGCTTCCACACACCCCAGCCAGACTCTGACTTCACTCCCGGCAGGTTTCAGTAGACTTGGCAGCAGTTGGAGCGAGCTGGCTTCTTGCGGTAGGCAGCCATGTTGGAAGAGCTCCCAATAGTCCTCGTTTCCTGGTAATCTCATGCTTGGATCATCTTCTTCTCTTGAGTGAAGAGAAGAACTGCAGAGAGAGACAGAGACAGAGAGACAGATCACAGGGGCAGTTTCCCCCATACTGTTCTCAAGATAAATGAGTCAACTCTTACACCTCTTTTCTCTGGTGTAAAACAAGGCTGGTGAACAGGCAGAGAGAACTGGGGTGTTGGAGTAGCATTGACCTTCCTTCTTCATCCCTCTATAATCTCTCCTAGTGCAGGAGTAGGAAAACTAAAAATCACACGTCTGATCATCTGTGATCTCAGAGTCTTGGACAAGCCTTGCTTGCCAATCAGCAGGGATGGGAGTTGGAGCCATCTCCAAGTGTCCCCCCACAAATCTATGTCCACCTGGAAGTTTCAAATGCAACTTTATTTGGGAAAAGCAATTTTGCAAATGTTATTAAGTGAAGGATCTAGGGATGAGATCATCCTGGAGTAGGGTGGGTCCTAGGTCAAATGACAGGAAATCTGCCCACCTCGGCCTCCCAAAGTGCTGGGATTACAGGCATGAGCCACCAAACCTGGCCTATCATTGATTTAATGATTAATACGGTTAGGCTCTGTGTCCCCACCCAAATCTCATCTCAAATTGTAATTCCCATGTGTCCAGGGAGGGAGCTTGTGGAAGGTGATTGGATCACAGGGGCAGTTTTTGTCATGCTGTTCTCATGATAAATGAGTCAATTCTCAGAAGAGATGATGGTTTTAAAGTGTGGCACTTCTTTGCTCTCTTGCTCTCTCTCTCTCCTGAGTAGACTGGCTCATTCTTTCTACTGGTTACAAGCAATAGAAGTGATAACAAAATTGATGGTTTCTCATTTCCTAAATGGTACCAGTGGATTCCTGGTTTCCTCTCTCTCTCTTCTCTCTCTCTATCAACTTTTCCCTCAATCTCTCTATCAACCTCCCTCTCTCTCAATCTCAATCTCTCTCAGTCTCATTCTCAATCTCTTTTGCTCAATCTCTTTCTCAGCTTCTCTCCCTCAATTTCTCTTTTGCAACTTCTCTCTCTCAGTCTGTGTCTCTCAATCTCCCTCTCTCAATCTCTCTTGTAGTCTCCCTGTCTCTCATACTCTCTCTGTTTCTGTCTGTCTCTGCCCTTGCTCTAGGGAAAGCAAGTTCTTATGCTGTAAGTTCTCCTGTAAAAAGGTCCACATGATACGGAACTGGCCATCTTTGGCCAACATGAGTGAGTTTAGAAGTGTGCCTTTCACCAGTTGAGCCTTCAAATGAGATCCCAGCCCTGGATGACACAGTGACAGTAACCTGCTAGGAACTGTGAACCAGAGGCACCCAGCCAAGCTGCTCCCAGACTCCCAACCCAGTGAAACCATAAGATAATAAATGCATGTTGTTTTAAGCTGCTAAGTTTGGGGGTCACTTGTTACACAGCAACAGCTGACTCATACATTTTCTTTGAAATTGATTTCCACTTCTGTCACCAGCATCATTCCATAAATTTGCTCTATGTGCATTGCTGACCTGCAGTAGAAGTTTTGGAGAAGTGAACCACATCCCCTTATCTGCCATTTGACAGCAAGCAGCCTCAAACATTCATAATTTCTTTCCTGACTCTCCACTCCACACTGTTGCCTGCCTTCCTGGTTCCAGATCTTTGGATCTGGACTGACACCTGGGCACTGTCATAGGCATCCGTGTGAAGAGACCACCAACAGGCTCTGTGTGAGCAATAAAGCTTTTTAATCACCTGGGTGCAGGTGGGCTGATTCTGAAAAGAGAGTCAGCAAAGAGTGGTGGGATTATCATTAGTTCTTATAGGTTCGGGATAGGTGGTGGAGTTAGGAGCAATTTTTTGTGGGCAGGGAGTGGATCTTACAAAGGACATTCTCAAGGGTGGGGATGATTTTACAAAGTACCTTCTTAAGGGCGGGGGAGGATATTACAAAGTACCTTCTCAAGGGTGGGGATGATTTTACAAAGTACCTTCTTAAGGGCGGGGGAGGATATTACAAAGTACCTTCTCAAGGGTGGGGGTGGATATTAGAAAGTACCTTCTTAAGGGCGGGGGAGGATATTACAAAGTACCTTCTCAAGGGTGGGGGAGGATATTACAAAGTACCTTCTCAAGGGTGGGGGAGGATATTACAAAGTACCTTCTCAAGGGTGGGGATGATTTTACAAAGTACCTTCTTAAGGGCAGGGTGGATATTACAAAGTACCTTCTCAAGGGTGGGGGTGGATATTACAAAGTACCTTCTCAAGGGTGGGGATGATTTTACAAAGTACCTTCTTAAGGGCGGGGGAGGATATTACAAAGTACCTTCTCAAGTGTGGGGGTGGATATTACAAAGGACATTCTCAAGGGTGGGGATGATTTTACAAAGTACCTTCTTAAGGGCAGGGGAGGATATTCCAAAGTACCTTCTCAAGGGTGGGGAGGATATTACAAAGTACCTTCTTAAGGGCGGGGGAGGATATTACAAAGTACCTTCTCAAGGGTGGGGGTGGATATTAGAAAGTACCTTCTCAAGGGTGGGGAGGATATTACAAAGTACCTTCTCAAGGGTGGGGGTGGATATTACAAAGTACCTTCTCAAGGGTGGGGATGATTTTACAAAGTACCTTCTTAAGGGTGGGGGTGGATATTACAAAGTACCTTCTCAAGGGTGGGGGAGGATATTACAAAGTACCTTCTCAAGGGTGGGGATGATTTTACAAAGTACCTTCTTAAGGGCAGGGTGGATATTACAAAGTACCTTCTCAAGGGTGGGGGTGGATATTACAAAGTACCTTCTCAAGGGTGGGGATGATTTTACAAAGTACCTTCTTAAGGGCAGGGGAGGATATTACAAAGTACCTTCTCAAGTGTGGGGGTGGATATTACAAAGGACATTCTCAAGGGTGGGGATGATTTTACAAAGTACCTTCTTAAGGGCAGGGGAGGATATTCCAAAGTACCTTCTCAAGGGTGGGGAGGATATTACAAAGTACCTTCTTAAGGGCGGGGGAGGATATTACAAAGTACCTTCTCAAGGGTGGGGGTGGATATTACAAAGTACCTTCTTAAGGGCAGGGGAGGATATTACAAAGTACCTTCTCAAGGGTGGGGGTGGATATTAGAAAGTACCTTCTCAAGGGTGGGGAGGATATTACAAAGTACCTTCTCAAGGGTGGGGGTGGATATTACAAAGTACCTTCTCAAGGGTGGGGATGATTTTACAAAGTACCTTCTTAAGGGTGGGGGAGGATATTACAAAGTACCTTCTCAAGGGTGGGGGTGGATATTACAAAGGACATTCTCAAGGGTGGGGATGATTTTACAAAGTACCTTCTTAAGGGTGGGGGAGGATATTACAAAGTACCTTCTCAAGGGTGGGGGTGGATATTACAAAGTACCTTCTTAAGGGCAGGGGAGGATATTACAAAGTACCTTCTCAAGGGTGGGGATGATTTTACAAAGTACCTTCTTAAGGGCGGGGGAGGATATTACAAAGTACCTTCTCAAGGGTGGGGGTGGATATTAGAAAGTACCTTCTCAAGGGTGGGGATGATATTACAAAGTACCTTCTCAAGGGTGGGGGTGGATATTACAAAGTACCTTCTCAAGGGTGGGGATGATTTTACAAAGTACCTTCTTAAGGGCGGGGGAGGATATTACAAAGTACCTTCTCAAGGGTGGGGGTGGATATTACAAAGTACCTTCTTAAGGGCAGGGGAGGATATTACAAAGTACCTTCTCAAGGGTGGGGATGATTTTACAAAGTACCTTCTTAAGGGCGGGGGAGGATATTACAAAGTACCTTCTCAAGGGTGGGGAGGGTGTGTTGTACAAAATACATTCACAAGGGTGGGGGACTATCAGAAAGTACATTATCACAAGGGCGGGGAGGGTGTATTGTCACAAAGTCAATTGATCAGTTAGGGTTGGGCAGGAACAAATCACAATGGTGGAATGTCATCAGTTAAGACAGGAACTGGCTATTTTCACTTCTTTTGTGGGTCTTCAATTGCTTCAGGCCACCTGGATGTATACGTGCAGGTCACAGGGGATATGATGGCTTAGCTTGGGCTCAGAGGCCTGACAGGCACTGCTTACTCACTGATGAGTCTCCGTTGGGACTTACTTCCAGGACTCCATCAGCAGGGGATTTTTCTGCTTCAAGGGCTCATGCTGGGCACATGAATGGAAGGGTTGATTCCTCCTGGAGGCGTCGAGGGAGATGCCTCCAAAAGGAGGAACTGACTCTCTTTGACCAACGTCACATGATAGCAACCTGCCAGGAACCAGGAACCAGAGACACGTATCCAACCAAAAGGCACCTGCCTCTTCCCCAGCTCCTGCTGGTTTGTGGGGCAACCCTGGGAGTCCTTGTCTTGCAAATGTGTTGTCTAGCTCTCCTCCTGAATGAGGCATCACCTGCATTCTCCACCTGCGTTCTTTGGAAGAGCTTTGCAGCCTCTCAGGAGAGCTGCTCACCTGTCCCCCCTGCCTGCTCATTGCCCTGTGCAAACCAGAGTCCTGAGACACTCCCCAAAGGTTGGTCCCTACCAACCCAGGTTGCCTCTTGTTTCTTGCAACAAGACAGCAAAAGACGCTGCAGAAGGATCGCTTACCTTGTTTGGAAAGAGAGCCCACCCTTTCACCTCGCTGGCAAACATTTTCTTGTGTCCTAATGAGAACCCCAAGGAATACCCCGGGATGTGAGGAGAGGGAGCGTCCGCCCGGCGGCCCGCCCCAAGGAGCCTGAGGCTGTCCTGCACACATCACCACACACACTCTCTGCATTGCAGTCCCATGTTTATAGAGAAGATTACAGGTGAGTTTCCAAAATCCCAGCCCATGCTGCCCCTACCTGACGATGTTTGATTTCCGAATTCCTTTAATTTCAGCAAATGGATATTGGCTGTGGGTCAGCATAGATTTTTTCCGGTTATTTAAACAACATTTCAGATGCTTTTCCTGGCATCATTAGCTGAATGCTTCTACTGACAGCTGGAATCATTCAAACATCTGAGACAAGAGAGTGAACAGGACGTTCACTTGTTACCGTATCTCCTCGCTTCTCAACCACCACCCCTGAAATTCGCAGACTGTCACTGGGGAGCCTGTGAACGTGGCTGAACGCAAACGGATTTAAAACTTGACAGGTGTTTCCAGCATGGAAAGGAACAAGGACTATAACGGCGAATAATAATAATAATAATAATAATAAAAGACAAATTAGGGATCAAGATCCAGTCTGTTTTTGTCTCATTTATAGTCTTTTCTCCAAGAGGTTGTAGGCTGGTACCATTTCACTAGGTTAAAAGCCTACGGTGTCAAGAGGTGCTAAGCTTTGCTGCTGTCTCTTGCTTGGCAAGACAAGCTCCGAGTCTTTCTGGAACTGACAATTGTGTGTGGGCATTTTCTTGTTTCTGGGGTTCTTTGCATGCATAGGGGCTGATCTTTGATATCCACTCTGGACTCCTCTCTGCAAACCTCTGGACATGCCACAGACAGCAGCTGTAACTTACTGAGGTCAACCTGCTTACAACCCACGTACCAACCCCATGGAGGTGATTGTCGTATGACTAACAGCAGGCAGTTAAGGAGAAAGTCATGCTTTACAAACGAGTCTGTGACTAGAAATCACAGGACCTGATGAATCCCTCAGAAACCCAAGAGGGATGGACTAACATTAAGGGGTTGTGGACTGTCCAGCCGTGCAGGGACAGTCTCCAAGAAGATGCTTTAGACACAACGGTGAATTC